>NC_000003.12:93470361-93655574 GCF_000001405.40 Homo sapiens
ATAATATATGGTTTGTGAACTTTGATATTTCATGTAGAGTATAAAATATATATTTGGGGTACATTGATATTATATTTACAGTATGTAATCTATATTTGATGTACTTTCATATTTTATGTACCTAATATATATTTGATGTAATTTCATATTTTATGTACAGTGTATAATGTATAGTTTGGGTACTTTGATATTTTATGTACACTATAGTATATATATCTGGTGTACTTTGATATTTTATGTACAGAATAAAATATATATTTGATGTAATTTTATATTTTATGTACGGTATATAATACATGCTTTGGGTACTTTGATATTTTTTGTACACTATAGAATATATACCTTGGGTACTTTGATATTTTATGTACAGTATATAATATATAGTTTGTGAACTTTGATATTTCATGTACAGTATATAATATATATTGGGGTACTTTGGACCTCTTTGAAGTCTTCGTTGGAAATGGGATTTCTTCATATAATGCTAGACAGAAGAGACTTCTCAGTAACTGCTTTTTCTGGTGTGTATTCAACTCTCAGAGTTGAACTTTCCTTTAGAAACAGCAGATTTGAAACTCTCTTTTTGTGGAATTTGCAAGTGGAGATTTCAGAGCTTTGAGGCCAATGGTAGAAAAGGAAATATCTTCGTATGCAAACTAGACAGAATCATTCTCAGAAACTACTTTGGTACGTGTGTGTTCAACTCACAGTGTTTAACCTTTCTTTTCATAGAGCAGTTTGGAAACACTCAGTTTGTAAAGTCAGCAACTGGATATTTGGATGTATTTGAGGCCTTCGTTGGAAACGGGATTTCTTCATATAATGCTAGACAGAAGAATTCTCAGTAACTTCTTTGGGTTGTGGGTATTCAAGTCACAGAGTTGAAGCTTCCTTTAGGCGGAGCAGATTGGAAACACTTTTTGTGGAATTTTCAGGGGGAGACTTCAAGCGCTTTGAAGTGAATGGTAGGAAAGGAAATATCTTCGTATAAAAACTAGACGGAGTCATTCTCAGAAACTACTTTGTGATGTTTGCGTTCAACTCACAGAGTTTAACGTTTCTTTTCATAGAGCAGTTTGGAAACACTCTTTTTGCAGAATCTGCAAGTGGATATTTGGACCTCTTTGTGGCCTTCGTTGGAAACGGGATTTTTCATATAATGCTAGACAGAAGAATTCTCAGTAACTTCTTTTTGTGGTGTGTATTCAACTCACAGAGTTGAACCTTCCTTTAGACAGAGCAGATTTGAAACTCTCTTTTTGTGGAATTTGCAAGTGGAGATTTCAAGCGCTTTGAGGCCAACGGCAGAAAAGGAAATATCTTCGTAGAAAAAATAGACGGAATCATTCTCAGAAACTGCTTTGGGATGTGTGCATTGAACTCACAGTGTTTAACACTTCTTTTCATAGAGCACTTTGGAAACACTCAGTTTGTAATGTCTGCAGCTGGATATTTGGACCTCTTTGAGGCCTTCGTAGTAAACGGGATTTCTTCGTGTAATGATAGACAATAGAATTCTCAGTCAATTTTTTCCTGTGTGTGTGTATTCAACTCACAGGGTTGAACCTTCCTTTAGACAGTGCAGATTTGAAACACTTGTCTGTGGAATTTGCAAGGGGAGATTTCAAGCACTTTGAGGCCATTGGTGGAAAAGGAAATATCTTCGTATAAAAACTAGACAGAATCATTCTCAGGAACTACTTTGTGATATGTGCATTCAACTCCCAGAGTTTAACCTTTCTTTTCATAGATGAGTTTGGAAACAGTCAGTTTGTAAATTCTGCAACTGGATATTTGGACCTCTTTGAGGCTTTCGTTGGAAACGGGATTTCTTCACATAATGCTAGACAGAAGAATTCTCAGTAACTTCTTTTGGGATGTATGTATTCAAATCAGAGAGTTGAACCTTCCTTTAGACAGAGCGGATTGGAAACACTCTTTTTGTGGAATTTGCAAGTGGAAAATTCTAGCAGTATGAGGCCAATGGTACAAAAGGAAATATCTTCGTATAAAAACTAGACAGTATCATTCTCAGAAACTGCTTTGTGATGTGTGTATTAAACTCACAGAGTTGAACATTTCTTTGCATAGAGCAGTTTGGAAAGACTTAGTTTGTGCAGTGTGCAAGTGGATATTTGGAACTCTTTGAGGCCTTCGTTGGAAACGGGATTTCTTCTTATAATTCTTGACAAAAGAATTCTCAGTAGCTTCTTTGTGTGTGTGTATTCAACTCACAGAGTTGAACCTTCCTTTAGACAGAGCAGATTGGAAACACTCTTTTTGTGGAATTTGCAAGTGGAGAATTCTAGCGCTTTGACGCCAATGGTAGAAAGGAAATATCTTCGTATAAAAACTAGACAGTATCATTCTCAGAAGCTACTTTGTGATGTGTGCGTTCAACTCACAGAGTTTAACCTTTCTTTTCATAGAGCAGTTTGGAAACCCTCTGTTTGTGAAGTCTGCAAGTGGATATTTAAACGTCTTTGAGGCCTTCGTTGGAAACGGGATTTTTTCATATAAACCAGGACAGAAGAATTCTCAGAAACTTCTTGATTGTTATGTGTGCATTCAACTCACAGAGTTGAACCTTACTTTGGAAAGAGCGGTTTTCTAACACTCTTTTTGTAAAAGTTCCAAGTGAATACTTTGAGTGCTTTGAAGCCTACGGTTGACAACGAAATATCTTCATGTAAAAACTACAAAGAATCATTCGCAGAAACCACGTTGTGATCTCTGCATTCAACTCACAGAGTTGAACCTTTCTTCCTATAGAGCAGTTATGAAACAGTCTCTTTGTAGAATTTGCAAGGGTGTATTTAGAGGGCATTGAAGCCTACGGTAGAAAAGGAAATATCTTACCATAAAATACTAGTCAGAAGCATTCTCAGAAACTGAGTTGTGATGTTTGCATTCAACTCACAGAGTTCAACATTCCTTTTAATGGAGCGGTTTTGAAACACTCTTTTTGCAGAATCTGCAAGTGGATATTTGGACCTCTTTGAGGCCTTCGTTGGAAACGGGATTTCTTCATGTAATGCCAGACAGAAGAATTCTCAGTGAATTCTTTCTGTGTGTGTGTATTCAACTCACAGAGTTGAACGTTCCTTTAGACAGAGTAGATTGGAAACACTCTTTTTGTGGAATTTTCAGGTGGAGGTATCAAGCGCTTTGAGGCCAATGATAGAAAAGGAAATACCTTCGTATAATAATTAGACGGAATCATTCTCAGAAACTGCTTTGCAATGTGTGCGTTCAACTCACAGTGTTTAACCTTTCTTTTCATACAGTTGTTTCGAAACACTCTTTTTGCAGAATCTGCAAGTGGATATTTGGACCTCTTTGAAGTCTTCGTTGGAAATGGGATTTCTTCATATAATGCTAGACAGAAGACTTCTCAGTAACTGCTTTTTCTGGTGTGTATTCAACTCTCAGAGTTGAACTTTCCTTTAGAAACAGCAGAGTTGAAACTCTCTTTTTGTGGAATTTGCAAGTGGAGATTTCAAAGCTTTGAGGCCAATGGTAGAAAAGGAAATATCTTCGTATGCAAACTAGACAGAATCATTCTCAGAAACTACTTTGGTACGTGTGTGTTCAACTCACAGTGTTTAACCTTTCTTTTCATAGAGCAGTTTGGAAACACTCAGTTTGTAAAGTCAGCAACTGGATATTTGGATGTATTTGAGGCCTTCGTTGGAAACGGGATTTCTTCATATAATGCTAGACAGAAGAATTCTCAGTAACTTCTTTGGGTTGTGGGTATTCAAGTCACAGAGTTGAAGCTTCCTTTAGGCGGAGCAGATTGGAAACACTTTTTGTGGAATTTTCAGGGGGAGACTTCAAGCGCTTTGAAGTGAATGGTAGGAAAGGAAATATCTTCGTATAAAAACTAGACGGAGTCATTCTCAGAAACTACTTTGTGATGTTTGCGTTCAACTCACAGAGTTTAACGTTTCTTTTCATAGAGCAGTTTGGAAACACTCTTTTTGCAGAATCTGCAAGTGGATATTTGGACCTCTTTGTGGCCTTCGTTGGAAACGGGATTTTTCATATAATGCTAGACAGAAGAATTCTCAGTAACTTCTTTTTGTGGTGTGTATTCAACTCACAGAGTTGAACCTTCCTTTAGACAGAGCAGATTTGAAACTCTCTTTTTGTGGAATTTGCAAGTGGAGATTTCAAGCGCTTTGAGGCCAACGGCAGAAAAGGAAATATCTTCGTAGAAAAAATAGACGGAATCATTCTCAGAAACTGCTTTGGGATGTGTGCATTGAACTCACAGTGTTTAACACTTCTTTTCATAGAGCACTTTGGAAACACTCAGTTTGTAATGTCTGCAGCTGGATATTTGGACCTCTTTGAGGCCTTCGTAGTAAACGGGATTTCTTCGTGTAATGATAGACAATAGAATTCTCAGTGAATTTTTTTCTGTGTGTGTGTATTCAACTCACAGGGTTGAACCTTCCTTCAGACAGTACAGATTTGAAACACTTTTCTGTGGAATTTGCAAGGGGAGATTTCAAGCACTTTGTGGCCATTGGTGGAAAAGGGAATATCTTCGTATAAAAACTAGACAGAGTCATTGTCAGGAACTACTTTGTGATATGTGCATTCAACTCACAGAGTTTAACCTTTCTTTTCATAGATGAGTTTGGAAACAGTCAGTTTGTAAATTCTGCAACTGGATATTTGGACCTCTTTGAGGCTTTCGTTGGAAACGGGATTTCTTCACATAATGCTAGACAGAAGAATTCTCAGTAACTTCTTTTGGGATGTATGTATTCAACTCAGAGAGTTGAACCTTCCTTTAGACAGAGCGGATTGGAAACACGCTTTTTGCGGAATTTTCAGGTAGAGATTCCAAGAGCCTTGAGGCCAATGGTAGAAAAGGCTATCTTCGTATAAAAACTAGAGGGAATCATTCTCAGAAACTGCTTTGTGATGTGTGTATTAAACTCACAGAGTTGAACATTTCTTTGCATAGAGCAGTTTGGAAAGACTTAGTTTGTGCAGTGTGCAAGTGGATATTTGGAACTCTTTGAGGCCTTCGTTGGAAACGGGATTTCTTCTTATAATTCTTGACAAAAGAATTCTCAGTAGCTTCTTTGTGTGTGTGTACTCAACTCACAGAGTTGAACCTTCCTTTAGACAGAGCAGATTGGAAACACTCTTTTTGTGGAATTTGCAAGTGGAAAATTCTAGCAGTATGAGGCCAATGGTACAAAAGGAAATATCTTCGTATAAAAACTAGACAGTATCATTCTCAGAAACTACTTTGTGATGTGTGCGTTCAACTCACAGAGTTTAACCTTTCTTTTCATAGAGCAGTTTGGAAACACTCTGTTTGTGAAGTCTGCAAGTGGATATTTAAACGTCTTTGAGGCCTTCGTTGGAAACGGGATTTCTTCATATAAACCAGGACAGAAGAATTCTCAGAAACTTCTTGTTTGTTATGTGTGCATTCAACTCACAGAGTTGAACCTTACTTTGGAAAGAGCAGTTTTTGAACACTCTTTTTGTAAAAGTTCCAAGTGAATACTTTGAGTGCTTTGAAGCCTACGGTAGACAACGAAATATCTTCATGTAAAAACTACAAAGAATCATTCGCAGAAACCACGTTGTGATCTCTGCATTCAACTCACAGAGTTGAACCTTTCCTCCTATAGAGCAGTTATGAAGCAGTCTCTTTGTAGAATTTGCAAGGGTGTATTTAGAGGGCATTGAAGCCTACGGTAGAAAAGGAAATATCTTACCATAAAATCTAGTCAGAAGCATTCTCAGAAACTGAGTTGTGATGTTTGCATTCAACTCACAGAGTTCAACATTCCTTTTAATGGAGCGGTTTTGAAACACTCTTTTTGCAGAATCTGCAAGTGGATATTTGGACCTCTTTGAGGCCTTCGTTGGAAACGGGATTTCTTCATGTAATGCCAGACAGAAGAATTCTCAGTGAATTCTTTCTGTGTGTGTGTATTCAACTCACAGAGTTGAACGTTCCTTTAGACAGAGTAGATTGGAAACACTCTTTTTGTGGAATTTTCAGGTGGAGGTATCAAGCGCTTTGAGGCCAATGATAGAAAAGGAAATACCTTCGTATAATAATTAGACGGAATCATTCTCAGAAACTGCTTTGCAATGTGTGCGTTCAACTCACAGTGTTTAACCTTTCTTTTCATACAGTTGTTTCGAAACACTCTTTTTGCAGAATCTGCAAGTGGATATTTGGACCTCTTTGAAGTCTTCGTTGGAAATGGGATTTCTTCATATAATGCTAGACAGAAGACTTCTCAGTAACTGCTTTTTCTGGTGTGTATTCAACTCTCAGAGTTGAACTTTCCTTTAGAAACAGCAGAGTTGAAACTCTCTTTTTGTGGAATTTGCAAGTGGAGATTTCAGAGCTTTGAGGCCAATGGTAGAAAAGGAAATATCTTCGTATGCAAAGTAGACAGAATCATTCTCAGAAACTACTTTGGTACGTGTGTGTTCAACTCACAGTGTTCAACCTTTCCTTTCATAGAGCAGTTTGGAAACACTCAGTTTGTAAAGTCAGCAACTGGATATGTGGATGTATTTGAGGCCTTCGTTGGAAACGGGATTTCTTCATATAATGCTAGACAGAAGAATTCTCAGTAACTTCTTTGGGTTGTGGGTATTCAACTCACAGAGTTGAAGCTTCCTTTAGGCGGAGCAGATTGGAAACACTTTTTGTGGAATTTTCAGGGGGAGACTTCAAGCGCTTTGAAGTGAATGGTAGGAAAGGAAATATCTTCGTATAAAAACTAGACGGAGTCATTCTCAGAAACTACTTTGTGATGTTTGCGTTCAACTCACAGAGTTTAACGTTTCTTTTCATAGAGCAGTTTGGAAACACTCTTTTTGCAGAATCTGCAAGTGGATATTTGGACCTCTTTGTGGCCTTCGTTGGAAACGGGATTTTTCATATAATGCTAGACAGAAGAATTCTCAGTAACTTCTTTTTGTGGTGTGTATTCAACTCACAGAGTGGAACCTTCCTTTAGACAGAGCAGATTTGAAACTCTCTTTTCGTGGAATTTGCAAGTGGAGATTTCAGGCGCTTTGAGGCCAACGGTAGAAAAGGAAATATCTTCGTAGAAAAAATAGACGGAATCATTCTCAGAAACTGCTTTGGGATGTGTGCATTGAACTCACAGTGTTTAACACTTCTTTTCATAGAGCACTTTGGAAACACTCAGTTTGTAATGTCTGCAGCTGGATATTTGGACCTCTTTGAGGCCTTCGTAGTAAACGGGATTTCTTCGTGTAATGATAGACAATAGAATTCTCAGTGAATTTTTTTCTGTGTGTGTGTATTCAACTCACAGGGTTGAACCTTCCTTTAGACAGTGCAGATTTGAAACACTTTTCTGTGGAATTTGCAAGGGGAGATTTCAAGCACTTTGAGGCCATTGGTGGAAAAGGAAATATCTTCGTATAAAAACTAGACAGAATCATTCTCAGGAACTACTTTGTGATATGTGCATTCAACTCACAGGGTTTAACCTTTCTTTTCATAGATGAGTTTGGAAACAGTCAGTTTGTAAATTCTGCAACTGGATATTAGGACCTCTTTGAGGCTTTCGTTGGAAACGGGATTTCTTCACATAATGCTAGACAGAAGAATTCTCAGTAACTTCTTTTGGGATGTATGTATTCAAATCAGAGAGTTGAACCTTCCTTTAGACAGAGCGGATTGGAAACACTCTTTTTGTGGAATTTGCAAGTGGAAAATTCTAGCAGTATGAGGCCAATGGTACAAAAGGAAATATCTTCGTATAAAAACTAGACAGTATCATTCTCAGAAACTGCTTTGTGATGTGTGTATTAAACTCACAGATTTGAACATTTCTTTGCATAGAGCAGTATGGAAAGACTTAGTTTGTGCAGTGTGCAAGTGGATATTTGGAACTCTTTGAGGCCTTGGTTGGAAACGGGATTTCTTCTTATAATTCTTGACAAAAGAATTCTCAGTAGCTTCTTTGTGTGTGTGTATTCAACTCACAGAGTTGAACCTTCCTTTAGACAGAGCAGATTGGAAACACTCTTTTTGTGGAATTTGCAAGTGGAGAATTCTAGCGCTTTGACGCCAATGGTAGAAAGGAAATATCTTCGTATAAAAACTAGACAGTATCATTCTCAGAAGCTACTTTGTGATGTGTGCGTTCAACTCACAGAGTTTAACCTTTCTTTTCATAGAGCAGTTTGGAAACCCTCTGTTTGTGAAGTCTGCAAGTGGATATTTAAACGTCTTTGAGGCCTTCGTTGGAAACGGGATTTTTTCATATAAACCAGGACAGAAGAATTCTCAGAAACTTCTTGATTGTTATGTGTGCATTCAACTCACAGAGTTGAACCTTACTTTGGAAAGAGCAGTTTTCTAACACTCTTTTTGTAAAAGTTCCAAGTGAATACTTTGAGTGCTTTGAAGCCTACGGTTGACAACGAAATATCTTCATGTAAAAACTACAAAGAATCATTCGCAGAAACCACGTTGTGATCTCTGCATTCAACTCACAGAGTTCAACCTTTCTTCCTATAGAGCAGTTATGAAACAGTCTCTTTCTAGAATTTGCAAGGGTGTATTTAGAGGGCATTGAAGCCTACGGTAGAAAAGGAAATATCTTACCATAAAATCTAGTCAGAAGCATTCTCAGCAACTGAGTTGTGATGTTTGCATTCAACTCACAGAGTTCAACATTCCTTTTAATGGAGCGGTTTTGAAACACTCTTTTTGCAGAATCTGCAAGTGGATATTTGGACCTCTTTGAGGCCTTCGTTGGAAACGGGATTTCTTCATGTAATGCCAGACAGAAGAATTCTCAGTGAATTCTTTCTGTGTGTGTGTATTCAACTCACAGAGTTGAACGTTCCTTTAGACAGAGTAGATTGGAAACACTCTTTTTGTGGAATTTTCAGGTGGAGGTATCAAGCGCTTTGAGGCCAATGATAGAAAAGGAAATACCTTCGTATAATAATTAGACGGAATCATTCTCAGAAACTGCTTTGCAATGTGTGCGTTCAACTCACAGTGTTTAACCTTTCTTTTCATACAGTTGTTTCGAAACACTCTTTTTGCAGAATCTGCAAGTGGATATTTGGACCTCTTTGAAGTCTTCGTTGGAAATGGGATTTCTTCATATAATGCTAGACAGAAGACTTCTCAGTAACTGCTTTTTCTGGTGTGTATTCAACTCTCAGAGTTGAACTTTCCTTTAGAAACAGCAGAGTTGAAACTCTCTTTTTGTGGAATTTGCAAGTGGAGATTTCAAAGCTTTGAGGCCAATGGTAGAAAAGGAAATATCTTCGTATGCAAACTAGACAGAATCATTCTCAGAAACTACTTTGGTACGTGTGTGTTCAACTCACAGTGTTTAACCTTTCTTTTCATAGAGCAGTTTGGAAACACTCAGTTTGTAAAGTCAGCAACTGGATATTTGGATGTATTTGAGGCCTTCATTGGAAACGGGATTTCTTCATGTAATGCTAGACAGAAGAATTCTCAGTAACTTCTTTGGGTTGTGGGTATTCAAGTCACAGAGTTGAAGCTTCCTTTAGGCGGAGCAGATTGGAAACACTTTTTGTGGAATTTTCAGGGGGAGACTTCAAGCGCTTTGAAGTGAATGGTAGGAAAGGAAATATCTTCGTATAAAAACTAGACGGAGTCATTCTCAGAAACTACTTTGTGATGTTTGCGTTCAACTCACAGAGTTTAACGTTTCTTTTCATAGAGCAGTTTGGAAACACTCTTTTTGCAGAATCTGCAAGTGGATATTTGGACCTCTTTGTGGCCTTCGTTGGAAACGGGATTTTTCATATAATGCTAGACAGAAGAATTCTCAGTAACTTCTTTTTGTGGTGTGTATTCAACTCACAGAGTTGAACCTTCCTTTAGACAGAGCAGATTTGAAACTCTCTTTTTGTGGAATTTGCAAGTGGAGATTTCAAGCGCTTTGAGGCCAACGGCAGAAAAGGAAATATCTTCGTAGAAAAAATAGACGGAATCATTCTCAGAAACTGCTTTGGGATGTGTGCATTGAACACACAGTGTTTAACACTTCTTTTCATAGAGCACTTTGGAAACACTCAGTTTGTAATGTCTGCAGCTGGATATTTGGACCTCTTTGAGGCCTTCGTAGTAAACGGGATTTCTTCGTGTAATGATAGACAATAGAATTCTCAGTGAATTTTTTTCTGTGTGTGTGTATTCAACTCACAGGGTTGGACCTTCCTTTAGACAGTGCAGATTTGAAACACTTTTCTGTGGAATTTGCAAGGGGAGATTTCAAGCACTTTGAGGCCATTGGTGGAAAAGGAAATATCTTCGTATAAAAACTAGACAGAATCATTCTCAGGAACTACTTTGTGATATGTGCATTCAACTCCCAGAGTTTAACCTTTCTTTTCATAGATGAGTTTGGAAACAGTCAGTTTGTAAATTCTGCAACTGGATATTTGGACCTCTTTGAGGCTTTCGTTGGAAACGGGATTTCTTCACATAATGCTAGACAGAAGAATTCTCAGTAACTTCTTTTGGGATGTATGTATTCAAATCAGAGAGTTGAACCTTCCTTTAGACAGAGCGGATTGGAAACACTCTTTTTGTGGAATTTGCAAGTGGAAAATTCTAGCAGTATGAGGCCAATGGTACAAAAGGAAATATCTTCGTATAAAAACTAGACAGTATCATTCTCAGAAACTGCTTTGTGATGTGTGTATTAAACTCACAGAGTTGAACATTTCTTTGCATAGAGCAGTTTGGAAAGACTTAGTTTGTGCAGTGTGCAAGTGGATATTTGGAACTCTTTGAGGCCTTCGTTGGAAACGGGATTTCTTCTTATAATTCTTGACAAAAGAATTCTCAGTAGCTTCTTTGTGTGTGTGTATTCAACTCACAGAGTTGAACCTTCCTTGAGACAGAGCAGATTGGAAACACTCTTTTTGTGGAATTTGCAAGTGGAGAATTCTAGCGCTTTGACGCCAATGGTAGAAAGGAAATATCTTGGTATAAAAACTAGACAGTATCATTCTCAGAAACTACTTTGTGATGTGTGCGTTCAACTCACAGAGTTTAACCTTTCTTTTCATAGAGCAGTTTGGAAACACTCTGTTTGTGAAGTCTGCAGGTATATATTTAAACGTCTTTGAGGCCTTCGTTGGAAACGGGATTTGTTCATATAAACCAGGACAGAAGAATTCTCAGAAACTTCTTGGTTGTTATGGGTGCATTCAACTCACAGAGTTGAACCTTACTTTGGAAAGAGCAGTTTTCTAACACTCTTTTTGTAAAAGTTCCAAGTGAATACTTTGAGTGCTTTGAAGCCTACGGTTGACAACGAAATATCTTCATGTAAAAACTACAAAGAATCATTCGCAGAAACCACGTTGTGATCTCTGCATTCAACTCACAGAGTTGAACCTTTCTTCCTATAGAGCAGTTATGAAACAGTCTCTTTGTAGAATTTGCAAGGGTGTATTTAGAGGGCATTGAAGCCTACGGTAGAAAAGGAAATATCTTACCATAAAATCTAGTCAGAAGCATTCTCAGCAACTGAGTTGTGATGTTTCCATTCAACTCACAGAGTTCAACATTCCTTTTAATGGAGCGGTTTTGAAACACTCTTTTTGCAGAATCTGCAAGTGGATATTTGGACCTCTTTGAGGCCTTCGTTGGAAACGGGATTTCTTCATGTAATGCCAGACAGAAGAATTCTCCAGTGAATTCTTTCTGTGTGTGTGTATTCAACTCACAGAGTTGAACGTTCCTTTAGACAGAGTAGATTGGAAACACTCTTTTTGTGGAATTTTCAGGTGGAGGTATCAAGCGCTTTGAGGCCCATGATAGAAAAGGAAATACCTTCATATAATAATTAGACGGAATCATTCTCAGAAACTGCTTTGCAATGTGTGCGTTCAACTCACAGTGTTTAACCTTTCTTTTCATAGAGTTGTTTCGAAACACTCTTTTTGCAGAATCTGCAAGTGGATATTTGGACCTCTTTGAAGTCTTCGTTGGAAATGGGGATTTCTTCATATAATGCTAGACAGAAGACTTCTCAGTAACTGCTTTTTCTGGTGTGTATTCAACTCTCAGAGTTGAACTTTCCTTTAGAAACAGCAGATTTGAAACTCTCTTTTTGTGGAATTTGCAAGTGGAGATTTCAGAGCTTTGAGGCCAATGGTAGAAAAGGAAATATCTTCGTATGCAAACTAGACAGAATCATTCTCAGAAACTACTTTGGTACGTGTGTGTTCAACTCACAGTGTTTAACCTTTCTTTTCATAGAGCAGTTTGGAAACACTCAGTTTGTAAAGTCAGCAACTGGATATTTGGATGTATTTGAGGCCTTCGTTGGAAACGGGATTTCTTCATATAATGCTAGACAGAAGAATTCTCAGTAACTTCTTAGGGTTGTGGGTATTCAACTCACAGAGTTGAAGCTTCCTTTAGGCGGAGCAGATTGGAAACACTTTTTGTGGAATTTTCAGGGGGAGACTTCAAGCGCTTTGAAGTGAATGGTAGAAAAGGAAATATCTTCGTATAAAAACTAGACGGAGTCATTCTCAGAAACTACTTTGTGATGTTTGCGTTCAACTCACAGAGTTTAACGTTTCTTTTCATAGAGCAGTTTGGAAACACTCTTTTTGCAGAATCTGCAAGTGGATATTTGGACCTCTTTGTGGCCTTCGTTGGAAACGGGATTTTTCATATAATGCTAGACAGAAAAATTCTCAGTAACTTCTTTTTGTGGTGTGTATTCAACTCACAGAGTTGAACCTTCCTTTAGACAGAGCAGATTTGAAACTCTCTTTTCGTGGAATTTGCAAGTGGGGATTTCAAGCGCTTTGAGGCCAACGGTAGAAAAGGAAATATCTTCTTAGAAAAAATAGACGGAATCATTCTCAGAAACTGCTTTGGGATGTGTGCATTGAACTCACAGTGTTTAACACTTCTTTTCATAGAGCACTTTGGAAACACTCAGTTTATAATGTCTGCAGCTGGATATTTGGACCTCTTTGAGGCCTTCGTAGTAAACGGGATTTCTTCGTGTAATGATAGACAATAGAATTCTCAGTGAATTTTTTTCTGTGTGTGTGTATTCAACTCACAGGGTTGAACCATCCTTTAGACAGTGCAGATTTGAAACACTTGTCTGTGGAATTTGCAAGGGGAGATTTCAAGCACTTTGAGGCCATTGGTGGAAAAGGAAATATCTTCGTATGAAAACTATACAGAATCATTCTCAGGAACTACTTTGTGATATGGGCATTCAACTCCCAGAGTTTAACCTTTCTTTTCATAGATGAGTTTGGAAACAGTCAGTTTGTAAATTCTGCAACTGGATATTTGGACCTCTTTGAGGCTTTCGTTGGAAACGGGATTTCTTCACATAATGCTAGACAGAAGAATTCTCAGTAACTTCTTTTGGGATGTATGTATTCAAATCAGAGAGTTGAACCTTCCTTTAGACAGAGCGGATTGGAAACACTCTTTTTGTGGAATTTGCAAGTGGAAAATTCTAGCAGTATGAGGCCAATGGTACAAAAGGAAATATCTTCGTATAAAAACTAGACAGTATCATTCTCAGAAACTGCTTTGTGATGTGCGTATTAAACTCACAGAGTTGAACATTTCTTTGCATAGAGCAGTTTGGAAAGACTTAGTTTGTGCAGTGTGCAAGTGGATATTTGGAACTCTTTGAGGCCTTCGTTGGAAACGGGATTTCTTCTTGTAATTCTTGACAAAAGAATTCTCAGTAGCTTCTTTGTGTGTGTGTATTCAACTCACAGAGTTGAACCTTCCTTTAGACAGAGCAGATTGGAAACACTCTTTTTGTGGAATTTGCAAGTGGAGAATTCTAACGCTTTGACGCCAATGGTAGAAAGGAAATATCTTCGTATAAAAACTAGACAGTATCATTCTCAGAAACAACTTTGTGATGTGTGCGTTCAACTCACAGAGTTTAACCTTTCTTTTCATAGAGCAGTTTGGAAACACTCTGTTTGTGAAGTCTGCAAGTGGATATTTAAACGTCTCTGAGGCCTTCGTTGGAAACGGGATTTTTTCATATAAACCAGGACAGAAGAATTCTCAGAAACTTCTTCATTCTTATGTGTGCATTCAACTCACAGAGTTGAACCTTACTTTGGAAAGAGCAGTTTTCTAACACTCTTTTTGTAAAAGTTCCAAGTGAATACTTTGAGTGCTTTGAAGCCTACGTTTGACAATGAAATATCTTCCTGTAAAAACTAAAAAGAATCATTCGCAGAAACCACGTTGTGATCTCTGCATTCAACTCACAGTGTTGAACCTTTCTTCCTATAGAGCAGTTATGAAACAGTCTCTTTGTAGAATTTGCAAGGGTGTATTTAGAGGGCATTGAAGCCTACGGTAGAAAAGGAAATATCTTACCATAAAATCTAGTCAGAAGCATTCTCAGCAACTGAGTTGTGATGTTTGCATTCAACTCACAGAGTTCAACATTCCTTTTAATGGAGCGGTTTTGAAACACTCTTTTTGCAGAATCTGCAAGTGGATATTTGGACCTCTTTGAGGCCTTCGTTGGAAACGGGATTTCTTCATGTAATGCCAGACAGAAGAATTCTCAGTGAATTCTTTCTGTGTGTGTGTATTCAACTCACAGAGTTGAACGTTCCTTTAGACAGAGTAGATTGGAAACACTCTTTTTGTGGAATTTTCAGGTGGAGGTATCAAGCGCTTTGAGGCCAATGATAGAAAAGGAAATACCTTCGTATAATAATTAGACGGAATCATTCTCAGAAACTGCTTTGCAATGTGTGCGTTCAACTCACAGTGTTTAACCTTTCTTTTCATACAGTTGTTTCGAAACACTCTTTTTGCAGAATCTGCAAGTGGATATTTGGACCTCTTTGAAGTCTTCGTTGGAAATGGGATTTCTTCATATAATGCTAGACAGAAGACTTCTCAGTAACTGGTTTTTCTGGTGTGTATTCAACTCTCAGAGTTGAACTTTCCTTTAGAAACAGCAGATTTGAAACTCTCTTTTTGTGGAATTTGCAAGTGGAGATTTCAAAGCTTTGAGGCCAATGGTAGAAAAGGAAATATCTTCGTATGCAAACTAGACAGAATCATTCTCAGAAACTACTTTGGTACGTGTGTGTTCAACTCACAGTGTTTAACCTTTCCTTTCATAGAGCAGTTTGGAAACACTCAGTTTGTAAAGTCAGCAACTGGATATCTGGATGTATTTGAGGCCTTCGTTGGAAACGGGATTTCTTCATGTAATGCTAGACAGAAGAATTCTCAGTAACTTCTTTGGGTTGTGGGTATTCAACTCACAGAGCTGAAGCTTCCTTTATGCGGAGCAGATTGGAAACACTTTTTGTGGAATTTTCAGGGGGAGACTTCAAGCGCTTTGAGGCCAACGGTAGAAAAGGAAATATCTTTGTATAAAAACTAGACGGAGTCATTCTCAGAAACTACTTTGTGATGTTTGCGTTCAACTCACAGAGTTTAACGTTTCTTTTCATAGAGCAGTTTGGAAACACTCTTTTTGCAGAATCTGCAAGTGGATATTTGGACCTCTTTGTGGCCTTCGTTGGAAACGGGATTTTTCATATAATGCTAGACGGAAGAATTCTCAGTAACTTCTTTTTGTGGTGTGTATTCAACTCACAGAGTTGAACCTTCCTTTAGACAGAGCAGATTTGAAACTCTCTTTTCGTGGAATTTGCAAGTGGAGATTTCAAGCGCTTTGAGGCCAACGGTAGAAAAGGAAATATCTTCGTAGAAAAAATAGACGGAATCATTCTCAGAAACTGCTTTGGGATGTGTGCATTGAACTCACAGTGTTTAACACTTCTTTTCATAGAGCACTTTGGAAACACTCAGTTTGTAATGTCTGCAGCTGGATATTTGGACCTCTTTGAGGCCTTCGTAGTAAACGGGATTTCTTCGTGTAATGATAGACAATAGAATTCTCAGTGAATTTTTTTCTGTGTGTGTGTATTCAACTCACAGGGTTGAACCTTCCTTTAGACAGTGCAGATTTGAAACACTTGTCTGTGGAATTTGCAAGGGGAGATTTCAAGCACTTTGAGGCCATTGGTGGAAAAGGAAATATCTTCGTATGAAAACTAGACAGAATCATTCTCAGGAACTACTTTGTGATATGTGCATTCAACTCACAGAGTTTAACCTTTCTTTTCATAGATGAGTTTGGAAACAGTCAGTTTGTAAATTCTGCAACTGGATATTTGGACCTCTTTGAGGCTTTCGTTGGAAACGGGATTTCTTCACATAATGCTAGACAGAAGAATTCTCAGTAACTTCTTTTGGGATGTATGTATTCAAATCAGAGAGTTGAACCTTCCTTTAGACAGAGCGGATTGGAAACACTCTTTTTGTGGAATTTGCAAGTGGAAAATTCTAGCAGTATGAGGCCAATGGTACAAAAGGAAATATCTTCGTATAAAAACTAGACAGTATCATTCTCAGAAACTGCTTTGTGATGTGTGTATTAAACTCACAGAGTTGAACATTTCTTTGCATAGAGCAGTTTGGAAAGACTTAGTTTGTGCAGTGTGCAAGTGGATATTTGGAACTCTTTGAGGCCTTCATTGGAAACGGGATTTCTTCTTATAATTCTTGACAAAAGAATTCTCAGTAGCTTCTTTGTGTGTGTGTATTCAACTCACAGAGTTGAACCTTCCTTTAGACAGAGCAGATTGGAAACACTCTTTTTGTGGAATTTGCAAGTGGAGAATTCTAGCGCTTTGACGCCAATGGTAGAAAGGAAATATCTTCGTATAAAAACTAGACAGTATCATTCTCAGAAGCTACTTTGTGATGTGTGCGTTCAACTCACAGAGTTTAACCTTTCTTTTCATAGAGCAGTTTGGAAACCCTCTGTTTGTGAAGTCTGCAAGTGGATATTTAAACGTCTTTGAGGCCTTCGTTGGAAACGGGATTTTTTCATATAAACCAGGACAGAAGAATTCTCAGAAACTTCTTGATTGTTATGTGTGCATTCAACTCACAGAGTTGAACCTTACTTTGGAAAGAGCAGTTTTCTAACACTCTTTTTGTAAAAGTTCCAAGTGAATACTTTGAGTGCTTTGAAGCCTACGGTTGACAACGAAATATCTTCCTGTAAAAACTACAAAGAATCATTCGCCGAAACCACGTTGTGATCTCTGCATTCAACTCACAGAGTTCAACCTTTCTTCCTATAGAGCAGTTATTAAACAGTCTCTTTGTAGAATTTGCAAGGGTGTATTTAGAGGGCATTGAGGCCTACGGTAGAAAAGGAAATATCTGACCATAAAATCTAGTCAGAAGCATTCTCAGAAACTGAGTTGTGATGTTTGCATTCAACTCACAGAGTTCAACATTCCTTTTCATAGAGCGGTTTTGAAACACTCTTTTTCCAGAATCTGCAAGTGGATATTTGGACCTCTTTGAGGCCTTCGTTAGAAACGGGATTTCTTCATGTAATCCCAGACAGAAGAACTCTCAGTGAATTCTTTCTGTGTGTGTGTACTCAACTCACAGAGTTGAACGTTCCCTTAGACAGAGTAGATTGGAAACACTCTTTTTGTGGAATGTTCACGTGGAGGTATCAAGCGCTTTGAGGCCATGATAGAAAAGGAAATACCTTCGTATAATAATTAGATGGAATCATTCTCAGAAACTGCTTTGCAATGTGTGCCTTCAACTCACAGTGTTTAACCTTTCTTTTCATACAGTTGTTTCGAAACACCCTTTTTGCGGAATCTGGAAGTGGATATTTGGACCTCTTTGAAGTCTTCGTTGGAAATGGGATTTCTTCATATAATGCTAGACAGAAGACTTCTCAGTAACTGCTTTTTCTGGTGTGTATTCAACTCTCAGAGTTGAACTTTCCTTTAGAAACAGCAGATTTGAAACTCTCTTTTTGTGGAATTTGCAAGTGGAGATTTCAGAGCTTTGAGGCCAATGGTAGAAAAGGAAATATCTTCGTATGCAAACTAGACAGAATCATTCTCAGAAACTACTTTGGTACGTGTGTGTTCAACTCACAGTGTTTAACCTTTCTTTTCATAGAGCAGTTTGGAAACACTCAGTTTGTAAAGTCAGCAACTGGATATTTGGATGTATTTGAGGCCTTCGTTGGAAACGGGATTTCTTCATATAGTGCTAGACAGAAGAATTCTCAGTAACTTCTTTGGGTTGTGGGTATTCAAGTCACAGAGTTGAAGCTTCCTTTAGGCGGAGCAGATTGGAAACACTTTTGTGGAATTTTCAGGGGGAGACTTCAAGCGCTTTGAAGTGAATGGTAGGAAAGGAAATATCTTCGTATAAAAACTAGACGGAGTCATTCTCAGAAACTACTTTGTGATGTTTGCGTTCAACTCACAGAGTTTAACGTTTCTTTTCATAGAGCAGTTTGGAAACACTCTTTTTGCAGAATCTGCAAGTGGATATTTGGACCTCTTTGTGGCCTTCGTTGGAAACGGGATTTTTCATATAATGCTAGACAGAAGAATTCTCAGTAACTTCTTTTTGTGGTGTGTATTCAACTCACAGAGTTGAACCTTCCTTTAGACAGAGCAGATTTGAAACTCTCTTTTTGTGGAATTTGCAAGTGGAGATTTCAAGCGCTTTGAGGCCAACGGCAGAAAAGGAAATATCTTCGTAGAAAAAATAGACGGAATCATTCTCAGAAACTGCTTTGGGATGTGTGCATTGAACTCACAGTGTTTAACACTTCTTTTCATAGAGCACTTTGGAAACACTCAGTTTGTAATGTCTGCAGCTGGATATTTGGACCTCTTTGAGGCCGTCGTAGTAAACGGGATTTCTTCGTGTAATGATAGACAATAGAATTCTCAGTGAATTTTTTTCTGTGTGTGTGTATTCAACTCACAGGGTTGAACCTTCCTTTAGACAGTGCAGATTTGAGACACTTGTCTGTGGAATTTGCAAGGGGAGATTTCAAGCACTTTGAGGCCATTGGTGGAAAAGGAAATATCTTCGTATAAAAACTAGACAGAATCATTCTCAGGAACTACTTTGTGATATGTGCATTCAACTCACAGGGTTTAACCTTTCTTTTCATAGATGAGTTTGGAAACAGTCAGTTTGTAAATTCTGCAACTGGATATTTGGACCTCTTTGAGGCTTTCGTTGGAAACGGGATTTCTTCACATAATGCTAGACAGAAGAATTCTCAGTAACTTCTTTTGGGATGTATGTATTCAAATCAGAGAGTTGAACCTTCCTTTAGACAGAGCGGATTGGAAACACTCTTTTTGTGGAATTTGCAAGTGGAAAATTCTAGCAGTATGAGGCCAATGGTACAAAAGGAAATATCTTCGTATAAAAACTAGACAGTATCATTCTCAGAAACTGCTTTGTGATGTGTGTATTAAACTCACAGAGTTGAACATTTCTTTGCATAGAGCAGTTTGGAAAGACTTAGTTTGTGCAGTGTGCAAGTGGATATTTGGAACTCTTTGAGGCCTTCGTTGGAAACGGGATTTCTTCTTATAATTTCTTGAAAAAAGAATTCTCAGTAGCTTCTTTGTGTGTGTGTATTCAACTCACAGAGTTGAACCTTCCTTTAGACAGAGCAGATTGGAAACACTCTTTTTGTGGAATTTGCAAGTGGAGAATTCTAGCGCTTTGACGCCAATGGTAGAAAGGAAATATCTTCGTATAAAAACTAGACAGTATCATTCTCAGAAACTACTTTGTGATGTGTGCGTTCAACTCACAGAGTTTAACCTTTCTTTTCATAGAGCAGTTTGGAAACACTCTGTTTGTGAAGTCTGCAGGTGGATATTTAAACGTCTTTGAGGCCTTCGTTGGAAACGGGATTTCTTCATATAAACCAGGACAGAAGAATTCTCAGAAACTTCTTGATTGTTATGTGTGCATTCAACTCACAGAGTTGAACCTTACTTTGGAAAGAGCAGTTTTCTAACACTCTTTTTGTAAAAGTTCCAAGTGAATACTTTGAGTGCTTTGAAGCCTACGGTTGACAACGAAATATCTTCATGTAAAAACTACAAAGAATCATTCGCAGAAACCACGTTGTGATCTCTGCATTCAACTCACAGAGTTCAACCTTTCTTCCTATAGAGCAGTTATGAAACAGTCTCTTTGTAGAATTTGCAAGGGTGTATTTAGAGGGCATTGAAGCCTACGGTAGAAAAGGAAATATCTTACCATAAAATCTAGTCAGAAGCATTCTCAGCAACTGAGTTGTGATGTTTGCATTCAACTCACAGAGTTCAACATTCCTTTTAATGGAGCGGTTTTGAAACACTCTTTTTGCAGAATCTGCAACTGGATATTTGGACCACTTTGAGGCTTTCGTTGGAAACGGGATTTCTTCACATAATGCTAGACAGAAGAACTCTCAGTGAATTCTTTCTGTGTGTGTGTATTCATCAAACAGAGTTGAACTTTCCTTTAGACAGAGTAGATTGGAAACACTCTTTTTGTGGAATTTTCAGGTGGAGGTATCAAGCGCTTTGAGGCCCATGATAGAAAAGGAAATACCTTCGTATAATAATTAGACGGAATCATTGTCAGAAAATGCTTTGCAATGGGTGCGTTCAACTCACAGTGTTTAACCTTTCTTTTCATACAGTTGTTTCGAAACACTCTTTTTGCAGAATCTGCAAGTGGATATTTGGACCTGTTTGAAGTCTTCTTTGGAAATGGGATTTCTTCATATAATGCTAGACAGAAGACTTCTCAGTAACTGCTTTTTCTGGTGTGTATTCAACTCTCAGAGTTGAACTTTCCTTTAGAAACAGCAGATTTGAAACTCTCTTTTTGTGGAATTTGCAAGTGGAGATTTCAGAGCTTTGAGGCCAATGGTAGAAAAGGAAATATCTTCGTATGCAAACTAGACAGAATCATTCTCAGAAACTACTTTGGTACGTGTGTGTTCAACTCACAGTGTTTAACCTTTCTTTTCATAGAGCAGTTTGGAAACACTCAGTTTGTAAAGTCAGCAACTGGATATTTGGATGTATTTGAGGCCTTCGTTGGAAACGGGATTTCTTCATATAATGCTAGACAGAAGAATTCTCAGTAACTTCTTTGGGTTGTGGGTATTCAAGTCACAGAGTTGAAGCTTCCTTTAGGCGGAGCAGATTGGAAACACTTTTTGTGGAATTTTCAGGGGGAGACTTCAAGCGCTTTGAAGTGAATGGTAGAAAAGGAAATATCTTCGTATAAAAACTAGACGGAGTCATTCTCAGAAACTACTTTGTGATGTTTGCGTTCAACTCACAGAGTTTAACGTTTCTTTTCATAGAGCAGTTTGGAAACACTCTTTTTGCAGAATCTGCAAGTGGATATTTGGACCTCTTTGTGGCCTTCGTTGGAAACGGGATTTTTCATATAATGCTAGACAGAAGAATTCTCAGTAACTTCTTTTTGTGGTGTGTATTCAACTCACAGAGTTGAACCTTCCTTTAGACAGAGCAGATTTGAAACTCTCTCTTTGTGGAATTTGCAAGTGGAGATTTCAAGCGCTTTGAGGCCAACGGCAGAAAAGGAAATATCTTCGTAGAAAAAATAGACGGAATCATTCTCAGAAACTGCTTTGGGATGTGTGCATTGAACTCACAGTGTTTAACACTTCTTTTCATAGAGCACTTTGGAAACACTCAGTTTGTAATGTCTGCAGCTGGATATTTGGACCTCTTTGAGGCCTTCGTAGTAAACGGGATTTCTTCGTGTAATGATAGACAATAGAATTCTCAGTGAATTTTTTTCTGTGTGTGTGTATTCAACTCACAGGGTTGAACCTTCCTTTAGACAGTGCAGATTTGAGACACTTGTCTGTGGAATTTGCAAGGGGAGATTTCAAGCACTTTGAGGCCATTGGTGGAAAAGGAAATATCTTCGTATGAAAACTAGACAGAATCATTCTCAGGAACTACTTTGTGATATGTGCATTCAACTCACAGAGTTTAACCTTTCTTTTCATAGATGAGTTTGGAAACAGTCAGTTTGTAAATTCTGCAACTGGATATTTGGACCTCTTTGAGGCTTTCGTTGGAAACGGGATTTCTTCACATAATGCTAGACAGAAGAATTCTCAGTAACTTCTTTTGGGATGTATGTATTCAAATCAGAGAGTTGAACCTTCCTTTAGACAGAGCGGATTGGAAACACTCTTTTTGTGGAATTTGCAAGTGGAAAATTCTAGCAGTATGAGGCCAATGGTACAAAAGGAAATATCTTCGTATAAAAACTAGACAGTATCATTCTCAGAAACTGCTTTGTGATGTGTGTATTAAACTCACAGAGTTGAACATTTCTTTGCATAGAGCAGTTTGGAAAGACTTAGTTTGTGCAGTGTGCAAGTGGATATTTGGAACTCTTTGAGGCCTTCGTTGGAAACGGGATTTCTTCTTATAATTCTTGACAAAAGAATTCTCAGTAGCTTCTTTGTGTGTGTGTATTCAACTCACAGAGTTGAACCTTCCTTTAGACAGAGCAGATTGGAAACACTCTTTTTGTGGAATTTGCAAGTGGAGAATTCTAGCGCTTTGACGCCAATGGTAGAAAGGAAATATCTTCGTATAAAAACTAGACAGTATCATTCTCAGAAGCTACTTTGTGATGTGTGCGTTCAACTCACAGAGTTTAACCTTTCTTTTCATAGAGCAGTTTGGAAACCCTCTGTTTGTGAAGTCTGCAAGTGGATATTTAAACGTCTTTGAGGCCTTCGTTGGAAACGGGATTTTTTCATATAAACCAGGACAGAAGAATTCTCAGAAACTTCTTGATTGTTATGTGTGCATTCAACTCACAGAGTTGAACCTTACTTTGGAAAGAGCAGTTTTCTAACACTCTTTTTGTAAAAGTTCCAAGTGAATACTTTGAGTGCTTTGAAGCCTACGGTTGACAACGAAATATCTTCATGTAAAAACTACAAAGAATCATTCGCAGAAACCACGTTGTGATCTCTGCTTTCAACTCACAGAGTTGAACCTTTCCTCCTATAGAGCAGTTATGAAACAGTCTCTTTGTTGAATTTGCAAGGGTGTATTTACAGGGCATTGAAGCCTATGGTAGAAAAGGAAATATCTTACCATAAAATCTAGTCAGAAGCATTCTCAGCAACTGAGTTGTGATGTTTGCATTCAACTCACAGAGTTCAACATTCCTTTTAATGGAGCGGTTTTGAAACACTCTTTTTGCAGAATCTGCAAGTGGATATTTGGACCTCTTTGAGGCCTTCGTTGGAAACGGGATTTCTTCATGTAATGCCAGACAGAAGAATTCTCAGTGAATTCTTTCTGTGTGTGTGTATTCAACTCACAGAGTTGAACGTTCCTTTAGACAGAGTAGATTGGAAACACTCTTTTTGTGGAATTTTCAGGTGGAGGTATCAAGCGCTTTGAGGCCAATGATAGAAAAGGAAATACCTTCGTATAATAATTAGACGGAATCATTCTCAGAAACCGCTTTGCAATGTGTGCGTTCAACTCACAGTGTTTAACCTTTCTTTTCATACAGTTGTTTCGAAACACTCTTTTTGCAGAATCTGCAAGTGGATATTTGGACCTCTTTGAAGTCTTCGTTGGAAATGGGATTTCTTCATATAATGCTAGACAGAAGACTTCTCAGTAACTGCTTTTTCTGGTGTGTATTCAACTCTCAGAGTTGAACTTTCCTTTAGAAACAGCAGATTTGAAACTCTCTTTTTGTGGAATTTGCAAGTGGAGATTTCAGAGCTTTGAGGCCAATGGTAGAAAAGGAAATATCTTCGTATGCAAACTAGACAGAATCATTCTCAGAAACTACTTTGGTACGTGTGTGTTCAACTCACAGTGTTTAACCTTTCTTTTCATAGAGCAGTTTGGAAACACTCAGTTTGTAAAGTCAGCAACTGGATATTTGGATGTATTTGAGGCCTTCGTTGGAAACGGGATTTCTTCATATAGTGCTAGACAGAAGAATTCTCAGTAACTTCTTTGGGTTGTGGGTATTCAACTCACAGAGTTGAAGCTTCCTTTAGGCGGAGCAGATTGGAAACACTTTTTGTGGAATTTTCAGGGGGAGACTTCAAGCGCTTTGAAGTGAATGGTAGAAAAGGAAATATCTTCGTATAAAAACTAGACGGAGTCATTCTCAGAAACTACTTTGTGATGTTTGCGTTCAACTCACAGAGTTTAACGTTTCTTTTCATAGAGCAGTTTGGAAACACTCTTTTTGCAGAATCTGCAAGTGGATATTTGGACCTCTTTGTGGCCTTCGTTGGAAACGGGATTTTTCATATAATGCTAGACAGAAGAATTCTCAGTAACTTCTTTTTGTGGTGTGTATTCAACTCACAGAGTTGAACCTTCCTTTAGACAGAGCAGATTTGAAACTCTCTTTTTGTGGAATTTGCAAGTGGAGATTTCAAGCGCTTTGAGGCCAACGGCAGAAAAGGAAATATCTTCGTAGAAAAAATAGACGGAATCATTCTCAGAAACTGCTTTGGGATGTGTGCATTGAACTCACAGTGTTTAACACTTCTTTTCATAGAGCACTTTGGAAACACTCAGTTTGAAATGTCTGCAGCTGGATATTTGGACCTCTTTGAGGCCTTCGTAGTAAACGGGATTTCTTCGTGTAATGATAGACAATAGAATTCTCAGTGAATTTGTTTCTGTGTGTGTGTATTCAACTCACAGGGTTGAACCTTCCTTTAGACAGTGCAGATTTGAAACACTTGTCTGTGGAATTTGCAAGGGGAGATTTCAAGCACTTTGAGGCCATTGGTGGAAAAGGAAATATCTTCGTATAAAAACTAGACAGAATCATTCTCAGGAACTACTTTGTGATATGTGCATTCAACTCCCAGAGTTTAACCTTTCTTTTCATAGATGAGTTTGGAAACAGTCAGTTTGTAAATTCTGCAACTGGATATTTGGACCTCTTTGAGGCTTTCGTTGGAAACGGGATTTCTTCACATAATGCTAGACAGAAGAATTCTCAGTAACTTCTTTTGGGATGTATGTATTCAAATCAGAGAGTTGAACCTTCCTTTAGACAGAGCGGATTGGAAACACTCTTTTTGTGGAATTTGCAAGTGGAAAATTCTAGCAGTATGAGGCCAATGGTACAAAAGGAAATATCTTCGTATAAAAACTAGACAGTATCATTCTCAGAAACTGCTTTGTGATGTGTGTATTAAACTCACAGATTTGAACATTTCTTTGCATAGAGCAGTATGGAAAGACTTAGTTTGTGCAGTGTGCAAGTGGATATTTGGAACTCTTTGAGGCCTTGGTTGGAAACGGGATTTCTTCTTATAATTCTTGACAAAAGAATTCTCAGTAGCTTCTTTGTGTGTGTGTATTCAACTCACAGAGTTGAACCTTCCTTTAGACAGAGCAGATTGGAAACACTCTTTTTGTGGAATTTGCAAGTGGAGAATTCTAACGCTTTGACGCCAATGGTAGAAAGGAAATATCTTCGTATAAAAACTAGACAGTATCATTCTCAGAAGCTACTTTGTGATGTGTGCGTTCAACTCACAGAGTTTAACCTTTCTTTTCATAGAGCAGTTTGGAAACCCTCTGTTTGTGAAGTCTGCAAGTGGATATTTAAACGTCTTTGAGGCCTTCGTTGGAAACGGGATTTCTTCATATAAACCAGGACAGAAGAATTCTCAGAAACTTCTTGATTGTTATGTGTGCATTCAACTCACAGAGTTGAACCTTACTTTGGAAAGAGCAGTTTTCTAACACTCTTTTTGTAAAAGTTCCAAGTGAATACTTTGAGTGCTTTGAAGCCTACGGTTGACAACGAAATATCTTCATGTAAAAACTACAAAGAATCATTCGCAGAAACCACGTTGTGATCTCTGCATTCAACTCACAGTGTTGAACCTTTCTTCCTATAGAGCAGTTATGAAACAGTCTCTTTGTAGAATTTGCAAGGGTGTATTTAGAGGGCATTGAAGCCTACGGTAGAAAAGGAAATATCTTACCATAAAATCTAGTCAGAAGCATTCTCAGCAACTGAGTTGTGATGTTTGCATTCAACTCACAGAGTTCAACATTCCTTTTAATGGAGCGGTTTTGAAACACTCTTTTTGCAGAATCTGCAAGTGGATATTTGGACCTCTTTGAGGCCTTCGTTGGAAACGGGATTTCTTCATGTAATGCCAGACAGAAGAATTCTCAGTGAATTCTTTCTGTGTGTGTGTATTCAACTCACAGAGTTGAACGTTCCTTTAGACAGAGTAGATTGGAAACACTCTTTTTGTGGAATTTTCAGGTGGAGGTATCAAGCGCTTTGAGGCCAATGATAGAAAAGGAAATACCTTCGTATAATAATTAGACGGAATCATTCTCAGAAACTGCTTTGCAATGTGTGCGTTCAACTCACAGTGTTTAACCTTTCTTTTCATACAGTTGTTTCGAAACACTCTTTTTGCAGAATCTGCAAGTGGATATTTGGACCTCTTTGAAGTCTTCGTTGGAAATGGGATTTCTTCATATAATGCTAGACAGAAGACTTCTCAGTAACTGCTTTTTCTGGTGTGTATTCAACTCTCAGAGTTGAACTTTCCTTTAGAAACAGCAGAGTTGAAACTCTCTTTTTGTGGAATTTGCAAGTGGAGATTTCAAAGCTTTGAGGCCAATGGTAGAAAAGGAAATATCTTCGTATGCAAACTAGACAGAATCATTCTCAGAAACTACTTTGGTACGTGTGTGTTCAACTCACAGTGTTTAACCTTTCTTTTCATAGAGCAGTTTGGAAACACTCAGTTTGTAAAGTCAGCAACTGGATATTTGGATGTATTTGAGGCCTTCGTTGGAAACGGGATTTCTTCATATAATGCTAGACAGAAGAATTCTCAGTAACTTCTTTGGGTTGTGGGTATTCAAGTCACAGAGTTGAAGCTTCCTTTAGGCGGAGCAGATTGGAAACACTTTTTGTGGAATTTTCAGGGGGAGACTTCAAGCGCTTTGAAGTGAATGGTAGGAAAGGAAATATCTTCGTATAAAAACTAGACGGAGTCATTCTCAGAAACTACTTTGTGATGTTTGCGTTCAACTCACAGAGTTTAACGTTTCTTTTCATAGAGCAGTTTGGAAACACTCTTTTTGCAGAATCTGCAAGTGGATATTTGGACCTCTTTGTGGCCTTCGTTGGAAACGGGATTTTTCATATAATGCTAGACAGAAGAATTCTCAGTAACTTCTTTTTGTGGTGTGTATTCAACTCACAGAGTTGAACCTTCCTTTAGACAGAGCAGATTTGAAACTCTCTTTTTGTGGAATTTGCAAGTGGAGATTTCAAGCGCTTTGAGGCCAACGGCAGAAAAGGAAATATCTTCGTAGAAAAAATAGACGGAATCATTCTCAGAAACTGCTTTGGGATGTGTGCATTGAACTCACAGTGTTTAACACTTCTTTTCATAGAGCACTTTGGAAACACTCAGTTTGTAATGTCTGCAGCTGGATATTTGGACCTCTTTGAGGCCTTCGTAGTAAACGGGATTTCTTCGTGTAATGATAGACAATAGAATTCTCAGTGAATTTTTTTCTGTGTGTGTGTATTCAACTCACAGGGTTGAACCTTCCTTTAGACAGTGCAGATTTGAAACACTTGTCTGTGGAATTTGCAAGGGGAGATTTCAAGCACTTTGAGGCCATTGGTGGAAAAGGAAATATCTTCGTATAAAAACTAGACAGAATCATTCTCAGGAACTACTTTGTGATATGTGCATTCAACTCACAGAGTTTAACCTTTCTTTTCATAGATGAGTTTGGAAACAGTCAGTTTGTAAATTCTGCAACTGGATATTTGGACCTCTTTGAGGCTTTCGTTGGAAACAGGATTTCTTCACATAATGCTAGACAGAAGAATTCTCAGTAACTTCTTTTGGGATGTATGTATTCAAATCAGAGAGTTGAACCTTCCTTTAGACAGAGCGGATTGGAAACACTCTTTTTGTGGAATTTGCAAGTGGAAAATTCTAGCAGTATGAGGCCAATGGTACAAAAGGAAATATCTTCGTATAAAAACTAGACAGTATCATTCTCAGAAACTGCTTTGTGATGTGTGTATTAAACTCACAGAGTTGAACATTTCTTTGCATAGAGCAGTTTGGAAAGACTTAGTTTGTGCAGTGTGCAAGTGGATATTTGGAACTCTTTGAGGCCTTCGTTGGAAACGGGATTTCTTCTTATAATTCTTGACAAAAGAATTCTCAGTAGCTTCTTTGTGTGTGTGTACTCAACTCACAGAGTTGAACCTTCCTTTAGACAGAGCAGATTGGAAATATTCTTTTTGTGGAATTTGCAAGTGGAAAATTCTAGCAGTATGAGGCCAATGGTACAAAAGGAAATATCTTCGTATAAAAACTAGACAGTATCATTCTCAGAAACTACTTTGTGATGTGTGCGTTCAACTCACAGAGTTTAACCTTTCTTTTCATAGAGCAGTTTGGAAACACTCTGTTTGTGAAGTCTGCAAGTGGATATTTAAACGTCTTTGAGGCCTTCGTTGGAAACGGGATTTGTTCATATAAACCAGGACAGAAGAATTCTCAGAAACTTCTTGATTGTTATGTGTGCATTCAACTCACAGAGTTGAACCTTACTTTGGAAAGAGCAGTTTTCTAACACTCTTTTTGTAAAAGTTCCAAGTGAATACTTTGAGTGCTTTGAAGCCTACGGTTGACAACGAAATATCTTCATGTAAAAACTACAAAGAATCATTCGCAGAAACCACGTTGTGATCTCTGCATTCAACTCACAGAGTTCAACCTTTCTTCCTATAGAGCAGTTATGAAACAGTCTCTTTGTAGAATTTGCAAGGGTGTATTTAGAGGGCATTGAAGCCTACGGTAGAAAAGGAAATATCTTACCATAAAATCTAGTCAGAAGCATTCTCAGAAACTGAGTTGTGATGTTTGCATTCAACTCACAGAGTTCAACATTCCTTTTAATGGAGCGGTTTTGAAACACTCTTTTTGCAGAATCTGCAAGTGGATATTTGGACCTCTTTGAGGCCTTCGTTGGAAACGGGATTTCTTCATGTAATGCCAGACAGAAGAATTCTCAGTGAATTCTTTCTGTGTGTGTGTATTCAACTCACAGAGTTGAACGTTCCTTTAGACAGAGTAGATTGGAAACACTCTTTTTGTGGAATTTTCAGGTGGAGGTATCAAGCGCTTTGAGGCCAATGATAGAAAAGGAAATACCTTCGTATAATAATTAGACGGAATCATTCTCAGAAACCGCTTTGCAATGTGTGCGTTCAACTCACAGTGTTTAACCTTTCTTTTCATACAGTTGTTTCGAAACACTCTTTTTGCAGAATCTGCAAGTGGATATTTGGACCTCTTTGAAGTCTTCGTTGGAAATGGGATTTCTTCATATAATGCTAGACAGAAGACTTCTCAGTAACTGCTTTTTCTGGTGTGTATTCAACTCTCAGAGTTGAACTTTCCTTTAGAAACAGCAGATTTGAAACTCTCTTTTTGTGGAATTTGCAAGTGGAGATTTCAGAGCTTTGAGGCCAATGGTAGAAAAGGAAATATCTTCGTATGCAAACTAGACAGAATCATTCTCAGAAACTACTTTGGTACGTGTGTGTTCAACTCACAGTGTTTAACCTTTCTTTTCATAGAGCAGTTTGGAAACACTCAGTTTGTAAAGTCAGCAACTGGATATTTGGATGTATTTGAGGCCTTCGTTGGAAACGGGATTTCTTCATATAGTGCTAGACAGAAGAATTCTCAGTAACTTCTTTGGGTTGTGGGTATTCAACTCACAGAGTTGAAGCTTCCTTTAGGCGGAGCAGATTGGAAACACTTTTTGTGGAATTTTCAGGGGGAGACTTCAAGCGCTTTGAAGTGAATGGGAGGAAAGGAAATATCTTCGTATAAAAACTAGACGGAGTCATTCTCAGAAACTACTTTGTGATGTTTGCGTTCAACTCACAGAGTTTAACGTTTCTTTTCATAGAGCAGTTTGGAAACACTCTTTTTGCAGAATCTGCAAGTGGATATTTGGACCTCTTTGTGGCCTTCGTTGGAAACGGGATTTTTCATATAATGCTAGACAGAAGAATTCTCAGTAACTTCTTTTTGTGGTGTGTATTCAACTCACAGAGTTGAACCTTCCTTTAGACAGAGCAGATTTGAAACTCTCTTTTTGTGGAATTTGCAAGTGGAGATTTCAAGCGCTTTGAGGCCAACGGCAGAAAAGGAAATATCTTCGTAGAAAAAATAGACGGAATCATTCTCAGAAACTGCTTTGGGATGTGTGCATTGAACTCACAGTGTTTAACACTTCTTTTCATAGAGCACTTTGGAAACACTCAGTTTGTAATGTCTGCAGCTGGATATTTGGACCTCTTTGAGGCCTTCGTAGTAAACGGGATTTCTTCGTGTAATGATAGACAATAGAATTCTCAGTGAATTTTTTTCTGTGTGTGTGTATTCAACTCACAGGGTTGAACCTTCCTTTAGACAGTGCAGATTTGAGACACTTGTCTGTGGAATTTGCAAGGGGAGATTTCAAGCACTTTGAGGCCATTGGTGGAAAAGGAAATATCTTCGTATAAAAACTAGACAGAATCATTCTCAGGAACTACTTTGTGATATGTGCATTCAACTCCCAGAGTTTAACCTTTCTTTTCATAGATGAGTTTGGAAACAGTCAGTTTGTAAATTCTGCAACTGGATATTTGGACCTCTTTGAGGCTTTCGTTGGAAACGGGATTTCTTCACATAATGCTAGACAGAAGAATTCTCAGTAACTTCTTTTGGGATGTATGTATTCAAATCAGAGAGTTGAACCTTCCTTTAGACAGAGCGGATTGGAAACACTCTTTTTGTGGAATTTGCAAGTGGAAAATTCTAGCAGTATGAGGCCAATGGTACAAAAGGAAATATCTTCGTATAAAAACTAGACAGTATCATTCTCAGAAACTGCTTTGTGATGTGTGTATTAAACTCACAGAGTTGAACATTTCTTTGCATAGAGCAGTTTGGAAAGACTTAGTTTGTGCAGTGTGCAAGTGGATATTTGGAACTCTTTGAGGCCTTCGTTGGAAACGGGATTTCTTCTTATAATTCTTGACAAAAGAATTCTCAGTAGCTTCTTTGTGTGTGTGTATTCAACTCACAGAGTTGAACCTTCCTTTAGGCAGAGCAGATTGGAAACCCACTTTTTGTGGAATTTGCAAGTGGAGAATTCTAGCGCTTTGACGCCAATGGTAGGAAAGGAAATATCTCCGTATAAAAACTAGACAGTATCATTCTCAGAAGCTACTTTGTGATGTGTGCGTTCAACTCACAGAGTTTAACCTTTCTTTTCATAGAGCAGTTTGGAAACCCTCTGTTTGTGAAGTCTGCAAGTGGATATTTAAACGTCTTTGAGGCCTTCGTTGGAAACGGGATTTTTTCATATAAACCAGGACAGAAGAATTCTCAGAAACTTCTTGATTGTTATGTGTGCATTCAACTCACAGAGTTGAACCTTACTTTGGAAAGAGCAGTTTTCTAACACTCTTTTTGTAAAAGTTCCAAGTGAATACTTTGAGTGCTTTGAAGCCTACGGTTGACAACGAAATATCTTCATGTAAAAACTACAAAGAATCATTCGCAGAAACCACGTTGTGATCTCTGCATTCAACTCACAGAGTTGAACCTTTCCTCCTATAGAGCAGTTATGAAGCAGTCTCTTTGTAGAATTTGCAAGGGTGTATTTACAGGGCATTGAAGCCTACGGTAGAAAAGGAAATATCTTACCATAAAATCTAGTCAGAAGCATTCTCAGAAACTGAGTTGTGATGTTTGCATTCAACTCACAGAGTTCAACATTCCTTTTCATAGAGCGGTTTTGAAACACTCTTTTTCCAGAATCTGCAAGTGGATATTTGGACCTCTTTGAGGCCTTCGTTGGAAACGGGATTTCTTCATGTAATCCCAGACAGAAGAATTCTCAGTGAATTCTTTCTGTGTGTGTGTATTCAACTCACAGAGTTGAACGTTCCTTTAGACAGAGTAGATTGGAAACACTCTTTTTGTGGAATTTTCAGGTGGAGGTATCAAGCGCTTTGAGGCCAATGATAGAAAAGGAAATACCTTCGTATAATAATTAGACGGAATCATTCTCAGAAACCGCTTTGCAATGTGTGCGTTCAACTCACAGTGTTTAACCTTTCTTTTCATACAGTTGTTTCGAAACACTCTTTTTGCAGAATCTGCAAGTGGATATTTGGACCTCTTTGAAGTCTTCGTTGGAAATGGGATTTCTTCATATAATGCTAGACAGAAGACTTCTCAGTAACTGCTTTTTCTGGTGTGTATTCAACTCTCAGAGTTGAACTTTCCTTTAGAAACAGCAGATTTGAAACTCTCTTTTTGTGGAATTTGCAAGTGGAGATTTCAGAGCTTTGAGGCCAATGGTAGAAAAGGAAATATCTTCGTATGCAAACTAGACAGAATCATTCTCAGAAACTACTTTGGTACGTGTGTGTTCAACTCACAGTGTTTAACCTTTCTTTTCATAGAGCAGTTTGGAAACACTCAGTTTGTAAAGTCAGCAACTGGATATTTGGATGTATTTGAGGCCTTCGTTGGAAACGGGATTTCTTCATATAGTGCTAGACAGAAGAATTCTCAGTAACTTCTTTGGGTTGTGGGTATTCAACTCACAGAGTTGAAGCTTCCTTTAGGCGGAGCAGATTGGAAACACTTTTTGTGGAATTTTCAGGGGGAGACTTCAAGCGCTTTGAAGTGAATGGTAGAAAAGGAAATATCTTCGTATAAAAACTAGACGGAGTCATTCTCAGAAACTACTTTGTGATGTTTGCGTTCAACTCACAGAGTTTAACGTTTCTTTTCATAGAGCAGTTTGGAAACACTCTTTTTGCAGAATCTGCAAGTGGATATTTAGACCTCTTTGTGGCCTTCGTTGGAAACGGGATTTTTCATATAATGCTAGACAGAAGAATTCTCAGTAACTTCTTTTTGTGGTGTGTATTCAACTCACAGAGTTGAACCTTCCTTTAGACAGAGCAGATTTGAAACTCTCTTTTTGTGGAATTTGCAAGTGGAGATTTCAAGCGCTTTGAGGCCAACGGCAGAAAAGGAAATATCTTCGTAGAAAAAATAGACGGAATCATTCTCAGAAACTGCTTTGGGATGTGTGCATTGAACTCACAGTGTTTAACACTTCTTTTCATAGAGCACTTTGGAAACACTCAGTTTGTAATGTCTGCAGCTGGATATTTGGACATCTTTGAGGCCTTCGTAGTAAACGGGATTTCTTCGTGTAATGATAGACAATAGAATTCTCAGTGAATTTTTTTCTGTGTGTGTGTATTCAACTCACAGGGTTGAACCTTCCTTTAGACAGTGCAGATTTGAAACACTTGTCTGTGGAATTTGCAAGGGGAGATTTCAAGCACTTTGAGGCCATTGGTGGAAAAGGAAATATCTTCGTATGAAAACTAGACAGAATCATTCTCAGGAACTACTTTGTGATATGTGCATTCAACTCACAGAGTTTAACCTTTCTTTTCATAGAGGAGTTTGGAAACACTCAGTTTGTAATTCTGCAACTGGATATTTGGACCTCTTTGAGGCTTTCGTTGGAAACGGGATTTCTTCACATAATTCTAGACAGAAGAATTCTAAGTAACTTCTTATGGGTTGTGTGTATTCAACTCAGAGAGTTGAACCTTCCTTTAGACAGAGCAGATTGGAAACCCTCTATTTGCCGAATTTTCAGGTGGAGATTTCAAGAGCTTTGAGGCCAATGGTAGAAAAGGCTATCTTCGTATAAAAAGTAGACGGAATCATTCTCAGAAACTGCTTTGTGATGTGTGCATTAAACTCACAGAGTTGAACATTTCTTTTTCATAGAGCAGTTTGGAAAGACTTAGTTTGTACAGTCTGCAAGTGGATATTTGGAACTCTTTGAGGCCTTCGTTGGAAACGGGATTTCTTATAATTCTTGACAAAAGAATTCTCAGTAGCTTCTTTGTGTGTGTGTATTCAACTCACAGAGTTGAACCTTCCTTTAGACAGAGCAGATTGGAAACACTCTTTTTGTGGAATTTGCAAGTGGAGAATTCTAGCGCTTTGACGCCAATGGTAGAAAGGAAATATCTTCGTATAAAAACTAGACAGTATCATTCTCAGAAACTATTTGTGATGTGTGCGTTCAACTCACAGAGTTTAACCTTTCTTTTCATAGAGCAGTTTGGAAACACTCTGTTTGTGAAGTCTGCATGTGGATATTTAAACGTCTTTGAGGCCTTCGTTGGAAACGGGATTTTTTCATATAAACCAGGACAGAAGAATTCTCAGAAACTTCTTGATTGTTATGGGTGCATTCAACTCACAGAGTTGAACCTTACTTTGGAAAGAGCAGTTTTCTAACACTCTTTTTGTAAAATTTCCAAGTGAATACTTTGAGTGCTTTGAAGCCTACGGTTGACAACGAAATATCTTCATGTAAAAACTACAAAGAATCATTCGCAGAAACCACGTTGTGATCTCTGCATTCAACTCACAGAGTTGAACCTTTCTTCCTATAGAGCAGTTATGAAACAGTCTCTTTGTAGAATTTGCAAGGGTGTATTTAGAGGGCATTGAAGCCTACGGTATAAAAGGAAATATCTTACCATAAAATCTAGTCAGAAGCATTCTCAGAAACTGAGTTGTGATGTTTGCATTCAACTCACAGAGTTCAACATTCCTTTTAATGGAGCGGTTTTGAAACACTCTTTGTGCAAAATCTGCAAGTGGATATTTGGACCTCTTTGAGGTCTTCGTTGGAAACGGGATTTCTTCATGTAATGCCAGACAGAAGAATTCTCAGTGAATTCTTTCTGTGTGTCTGTATTCAACTCACAGAGTTGAACATTCCTTTAGACAGAGTAGATTGGAAACACTCTTTTTGTGGAATTTTCAGGTGGAGGTATCAAGCGCTTTGAGGCCAATGATAGAAAAGGAAATACCTTCGTATAATAATTAGACGGAATCATTCTCAGAAACTGCTTTGCAATGTGTGCCTTCAACTCACAGCGTTTAACCTTTCTTTTCATACAGTTGTTTCGAAACTCTCTTTTTGCAGAATCTGCAAGTGGATATTTGGACCTCTTTGAAGTCTTCGTTGGAAATGGGATTTCTTCATATAATGCTAGACAGAAGACTTCTCAGTAACTGCTTTTTCTGGTGTGTATTCAACTCTCAGAGTTGAACTTTCCTTTAGAAACAGCAGATTTGAAACTCTCTTTTTGTGGAATTTGCAAGTGGAGATTTCAGAGCTTTGAGGCCAATGGTAGAAAAGGAAATATCTTCGTATGCAAACTAGACAGAATCATTCTCAGAAACTACTTTGGTACGTGTGTGTTCAACTCACAGTGTTTAACCTTTCTTTTCATAGAGCAGTTTGGAAACACTCAGTTTGTAAAGTCAGCAACTGGATATTTGGATGTATTTGAGGCCTTCGTTGGAAACGGGATTTCTTCATATAGTGCTAGACAGAAGAATTCTCAGTAACTTCTTTGGGTTGTGGGTATTCAACTCACAGAGTTGAAGCTTCCTTTAGGCGGAGCAGATTGGAAACACTTTTTGTGGAATTTTCAGGGGGAGACTTCAAGCGCTTTGAAGTGAATGGTAGAAAAGGAAATATCTTCGTATATAAACTAGACAGGAGTCATTCTCAGAAACTACTTTGTGATGTTTGCGTTCAACTCACAGAGTTTAACGTTTCTTTTCATAGAGCAGTTTGGAAACACTCTTTTGCAGAATCGGCAAGTGGATATTTGGACCTCTTTGTGGCCTTCGTTGGAAACGGGGTTTTTCATATAATGCTAGACAGAAGAATTCTCAGTAACTTCTTTCTGTGATGTGTATTCAACTCACAGAGTTGAACCTTCCTTTAGACAGAGCAGATTTGAAACTCTCTTTTTGTGGAATTTGCAAGTGGAGATTTCAAGCGCTTTGAGGCCAACGGCAGAAAAGGAAATATCTTCTTAGAAAAAATAGACGGAATCATTCTCAGAAACTGCTTTGGGATGTGTGCATTGAACTCACAGTGTTTAACACTTCTTTTCATAGAGCACTTTGGAAACACTCAGTTTGTAATGTCTGCAGCTGGATATTTGGACCTCTTTGAGGCCTTCGTAGTAAACGGGATTTCTTCGTGTAATGATAGACAATAGAATTCTCAGTGAATTTTTTTCTGTGTGTGTGTATTCAACTCACAGGGTTGAACCTTCCTTTAGACAGTGCAGATTTGAAACACTTGTCTGTGGAATTTGCAAGGGGAGATTTCAAGCACTTTTTGGCCATTGGTGGAAAAGGAAATATCTTCGTATGAAAACTAGACAGAATCATTCTCAGGAACTACTTTGTGATATGTGCATTCAACTCCCAGAGTTCAACCTTTCTTTTCATAGATGAGTTTGGAAACAGTCAGTTTGTAAATTCTGCAACTGGATATTTGGACCTCTTTGAGGCTTTCGTTGGAAACGGGATTTCTTCACATAATGCTAGACAGAAGAATTCTCAGTAGCTTCTTTGTGTGTGTGTATTCAACTCACAGAGTTGAACCTTCCTTTAGACAGAGCGGATTGGAAACACTCTTTTTGTGGAATTTGCAAGTGGAAAATTCTAGCAGTATGAGGCCAATGGTACAAAAGGAAATATCTTCGTATAAAAACTAGACAGTATCATTCTCAGAAACTGCTTTGTGATGTGTGTATTAAACTCACAGAGTTGAACATTTCTTTGCATAGAGCAGTTTGGAAAGACTTAGTTTGTGCAGTGTGCAAGTGGATATTTGGAACTCTTTGAGGCCTTCGTTGGAAACGGGATTTCTTCTTATAATTCTTGACAAAAGAATTCTCAGTAGCTTCTTTGTGTGTGTGTATTCAACTCACAGAGTTGAACCTTCCTTGAGACAGAGCAGATTGGAAACACTCTTTTTGTGGAATTTGCAAGTGGAGAATTCTAGCGCTTTGACGCCAATGGTAGAAAGGAAATATCTTCGTATAAAAACTAGACAGTATCATTCTCAGAAACTACTTTGTGATGTGTGCGTTCAACTCACAGAGTTTAACCTTTCTTTTCATAGAGCAGTTTGGAAACACTCTGTTTGTGAAGTCTGCAAGTGGATATTTAAACGTCTTTGAGGCCTTCGTTGGAAACGGGATTTTTTCATATAAACCAGGACAGAAGAATTCTCAGAAACTTCTTGTTTGTTATGTGTGCATTCAACTCACAGAGTTGAACCTTACTTTGGAAAGAGCAGTTTTCTAACACTCTTTTTGTAAAAGTTCCAAGTGAATACTTTGAGTGCTTTGAAGCCTACGGTAGACAACGAAATATCTTCATGTAAAAACTACAAAGAATCATTCGCAGAAACCACGTTGTGATCTCTGCATTCAACTCACAGAGTTGAACCTTTCCTCCTATAGAGCAGTTATGAAGCAGTCTCTTTGTAGAATTTGCAAGGGTGTATTTAGAGGGCATTGAAGCCTACGGTAGAAAAGGAAATATCTTACCATAAAATCTAGTCAGAAGCATTCTCAGAAACTGAGTTGTGATGTTTGCATTCAACTCACAGAGTTCAACATTCCTTTTAATGGAGCGGTTTTGAAACACTCTTTTTGCAGAATCTGCAAGTGGATATTTGGACCTCTTTGAGGCCTTCGTTGGAAACGGGATTTCTTCATGTAATGCCAGACGGAAGAATTCTCAGTGAATTCTTTCTGTGTGTGTGTATTCAACTCACAGAGTTGAACGTTCCTTTAGACAGAGTAGATTGGAAACACTCTTTTTGTGGAATTTTCAGGTGGAGGTATCAAGCGCTTTGAGGCCAATGATAGAAAAGGAAATACCTTCGTATAATAATTAGACGGAATCATTCTCAGAAACTGCTTTGCAATGTGTGCGTTCAACTCACAGTGTTTAACCTTTCTTTTCATACAGTTGTTTCGAAACACTCTTTTTGCAGAATCTGCAAGTGGATATTTGGACCTCTTTGAAGTCTTCGTTGGAAATGGGATTTCTTCATATAATGCTAGACAGAAGACTTCTCAGTAACTGCTTTTTCTGGTGTGTATTCAACTCTCAGAGTTGAACTTTCCTTTAGAAACAGCAGATTTGAAACTCTCTTTTTGTGGAATTCGCAAGTGGAGATTTCAGAGCTTTGAGGCCAATGGTAGAAAAGGAAATATCTTCGTATGCAAACTAGACAGAATCATTCTCAGAAACTACTTTGGTACGTGTGTGTTCAACTCACAGTGTTTAACCTTTCCTTTCATAGAGCAGTTTGGAAACACTCAGTTTGTAAAGTCAGCAACTGGATATCTGGATGTATTTGAGGCCTTCGTTGGAAACGGGATTTCTTCATGTAATGCTAGACAGAAGAATTCTCAGTAACTTCTTTGGATTGTGGGTATTCAACTCACAGAGCTGAAGCTTCCTTTAGGTGGAGCAGATTGGAAACACTTTTTGTGGAATTTTCAGGGGGAGACTTCAAGCGCTTTGAGGCCAACGGTAGAAAAGGAAATATCTTCGTATAAAAACTAGATGGAGTCATTCTCACAAACTACTTTGTGATGTTTGCGTTCAACTCACAGAGTTTAACGTTTCTTTTCATAGAGCAGTTTGGAAACACTCTTTTTGCAGAATCTGTAAGTGGATATTTGGACCTCTTTGTGGCCTTCGTTGGAAACGGGATTTTTCATATAATTCTAGACAGAAGAATTCTCAGTAACTTCTTTTTTTGGTGTGTATTCAACTCACAGAGTTGAACCTTCCTTTAGACAGAGCAGATTTGAAACTCTCTTTTCGTGGAATTTGCAAGTGGAGATTTCAAGCGCTTTGAGGCCAACGGTAGAAAAGGAAATATCTTCGTAGAAAAAATAGACGGAATCATTCTCAGAAACTGCTTTGGGATGTGTGCATTGAACTCACAGTGTTTAACACTTCTTTTCATAGAGCACTTTGGAAACACTCAGTTTATAATGTCTGCAGCTGGATATTTGGACCTCTTTGAGGCCTTCGTAGTAAACGGGATTTCTTCGTGTAATGATAGACAATAGAATTCTCAGTGAATTTTTTTCTGTGTGTGTGTATTCAACTCACAGGGTTGAACCATCCTTTAGACAGTGCAGATTTGAAACACTTGTCTGTGGAATTTGCAAGGGGAGATTTCAAGCACTTTGAGGCCATTGGTGGAAAAGGAAATATCTTCGTATGAAAACTAGACAGAATCATTCTCAGGAACTACTTTGTGATATGGGCATTCAACTCACAGAGTTTAACCTTTCTTTTCATAGATGAGTTTGGAAACAGTCAGTTTGTAAATTCTGCAACTGGATATTTGGACCTCTTTGAGGCTTTCGTTGGAAACGGGATTTCTTCACATAATGCTAGACAGAAGAATTCTCAGTAACTTCTTTTGGGATGTATGTATTCAAATCAGAGAGTTGAACCTTCCTTTAGACAGAGCGGATTGGAAACACTCTTTTTGTGGAATTTGCAAGTGGAAAATTCTAGCAGTATGAGGCCAATGGTACAAAAGGAAATATCTTCGTATAAAAACTAGACAGTATCATTCTCAGAAACTGCTTTGTGATGTGTGTATTAAACTCACAGAGTTGAACATTTCTTTGCATAGAGCAGTTTGGAAAGACTTAGTTTGTGCAGTGTGCAAGTGGATATTTGGAACTCTTTGAGGCCTTCGTTGGAAACGGGATTTCTTCTTATAATTCTTGACAAAAGAATTCTCAGTAGCTTCTTTGTGTGTGTGTATTCAACTCACAGAGTTGAACCTTCCTTTAGACAGAGCAGATTGGAAACACTCTTTTTGTGGAATTTGCAAGTGGAGAATTCTAGCTCTTTGACGCCAATGGTAGAAAGGAAATATCTTCGTATAAAAACTAGACAGTATCATTCTCAGAAACTACTTTGTGATGTGCGCGTTCAACTCACAGAGTTTAGCCTTTCTTTTCATAGAGCAGTTTGGAAACACTCTGTTTGTGAAGTCTGCAAGTGGATATTTAAACGTCTTTGAGGCCTTCGTTGGAAACGGGATTTGTTCATATAAACCAGGACAGAAGAATTCTCAGAAACTTCTTGATTGTTATGTGTGCATTCAACTCACAGAGTTGAACCTTACTTTGGAAAGAGCAGTTTTCTAACACTCTTTTTGTAAAAGTTCCAAGTGAATACTTTGAGTGCTTTGAAGCCTACGGTTGACAACGAAATATCTTCATGTAAAAACTACAAAGAATCATTCGCAGAAACCACGTTGTGATCTCTGCATTCAACTCACAGTGTTGAACCTTTCTTCCTATAGAGCAGTTATGAAACAGTCTCTTTGTAGAATTTGCAAGGGTGTATTTAGAGGGCATTGAAGCCTACGGTAGAAAAGGAAATATCTTACCATAAAATCTAGTCAGAAGCATTCTCAGAAACTGAGTTGTGATGTTTGCATTCAACTCACAGAGTTCAACATTCCTTTTCATGGAGCGGTTTTGAAACACTCTTTTTGCAGAATCTGCAAGTGGATATTTGGACCTCTTTGAGGCCTTCGTTGAAAACGGGATTTCTTCATGTAATGCCAGACAGAAGAATTCTCAGTGAATTCTTTCTGTGTGTGTGTATTCAACTCACAGAGTTGAACGTTCCTTTAGACAGAGTAGATTGGAAACACTCTTTTTGTGGAATTTTCAGGTGGAGGTATCAAGCGCTTTGAGGCCAATGATAGAAAAGGAAATACCTTCGTATAATAATTAGACGGAATCATTCTCAGAAACTGCTTTGCAATGTGTGCGTTCAACTCACAGTGTTTAACCTTTCTTTTCATACAGTTGTTTCGAAACACTCTTTTTGCAGAATCTGCAAGTGGATATTTGGACCTCTTTGAAGTCTTCGTTGGAAATGGGATTTCTTCATATAATGCTAGACAGAAGACTTCTCAGTAACTGCTTTTTCTGGTGTGTATTCAACTCTCAGAGTTGAACTTTCCTTTAGAAACAGCAGAGTTGAAACTCTCTTTTTGTGGAATTTGCAAGTGGAGATTTCAGAGCTTTGAGGCCAATGGTAGAAAAGGAAATATCTTCGTATGCAAACTAGACAGAATCATTCTCAGAAACTACTTTGGTACGTGTGTGTTCAACTCACAGTGTTTAACCTTTCTTTTCATAGAGCAGTTTGGAAACACTCAGTTTGTAAAGTCAGCAACTGGATATTTGGATGTATTTGAGGCCTTCGTTGGAAACGGGATTTCTTCATATAATGCTAGACAGAAGAATTCTCAGTAACTTCTTTGTGTTGTGGGTATTCAACTCACAGAGTTGAAGCTTCCTTTAGGCGGAGCAGATTGGAAACACTTTTTGTGGAATTTTCAGGGGGAGACTTCAAGCGCTTTGAGGCCAACGGTAGAAAAGGAAATATCTTCGTATAAAAACTAGACGGAGTCATTCTCAGAAACTACTTTGTGATGTTTGCGTTCAACTCACAGAGTTTAACGTTTCTTTTCATAGAGCAGTTTGGAAACACTCTTTTTGCAGAATCTGCAAGTGGATATTTGGACCTCTTTGTGGCCTTCGTTGGAAACGGGATTTTTCATATAATGCTAGACAGAAGAATTCTCAGTAACTTCTTTTTGTGGTGTGTATTCAACTCACAGAGTTGAACCTTCCTTTAGACAGAGCAGATTTGAAACTCTCTTTTTGTGGAATTTGCAAGTGGAGATTTCAAGCGCTTTGAGGCCAACGGCAGAAAAGGAAATATCTTCGTAGAAAAAATAGACGGAATCATTCTCAGAAACTGCTTTGGGATGTGTGCATTGAACTCACAGTGTTTAACACTTCTTTTCATAGAGCACTTTGGAAACACTCAGTTTGTAATGTCTGCAGCTGGATATTTGGACCTCTTTGAGGCCTTCGTAGTAAACGGGATTTCTTCGTGTAATGATAGACAATAGAATTCTCAGTGAATTTGTTTCTGTGTGTGTGTATTCAACTCACAGGGTTGAACCTTCCTTTAGACAGTGCAGATTTGAAACACTTGTCTGTGGAATTTGCAAGGGGAGATTTCAAGCACTTTGAGGCCATTGGTGGAAAAGGAAATATCTTCGTATAAAAACTAGACAGAATCATTCTCAGGAACTACTTTGTGATATGTGCATTCAACTCACAGAGTTTAACCTTTCTTTTCATAGATGAGTTTGGAAACAGTCAGTTTGTAAATTCTGCAACTGGATATTTGGACCTCTTTGAGGCTTTCGTTGGAAACGGGATTTCTTCACATAATGCTAGACAGAAGAATTCTCAGTAACTTCTTTTGGGATGTATGTATTCAAATCAGAGAGTTGAACCTTCCTTTAGACAGAGCGGATTGGAAACACTCTTTTTGTGGAATTTGCAAGTGGAAAATTCTAGCAGTATGAGGCCAATGGTACAAAAGGAAATATCTTCGTATAAAAACTAGACAGTATCATTCTCAGAAACTGCTTTGTGATGTGTGTATTAAACTCACAGAGTTGAACATTTCTTTGCATAGAGCAGTTTGGAAAGACTTAGTTTGTGCAGTGTGCAAGTGGATATTTGGAACTCTTTGAGGCCTTCGTTGGAAACGGGATTTCTTCTTATAATTCTTGACAAAAGAATTCTCAGTAGCTTCTTTGTGTGTGTGTATTCAACTCACAGAGTTGAACCTTCCTTTAGACAGAGCAGATTGGAAACACTCTTTTTGTGGAATTTGCAAGGGGAGAATTCTAGCGCTTTGACGCCAATGGTAGAAAGGAAATATCTTCGTATAAAAACTAGACAGTATCATTCTCAGAAGCTACTTTGTGATGTGTGCGTTCAACTCACAGAGTTTAACCTTTCTTTTCATAGAGCAGTTTGGAAACACTCTGTTTGTGAAGTCTGCAAGTGGATATTTAAACGTCTTTGAGGCCTTCGTTGGAAACGGGATTTTTTCATATAAACCAGGACAGAAGAATTCTCAGAAACTTCTTGATTGTTATGTGTGCATTCAACTCACAGAGTTGAACCTTACTTTGGAAAGAGCAGTTTCCTAACACTCGTTTTGTAAAAGTTCCAAGTGAATACTTTGAGTGCTTTGAAGCCTACGGTTGACAACGAAATATCTTCATGTAAAAACTACAAAGAATCATTCGCAGAAACCACGTTGTGATCTCTGCATTCAACTCACAGAGTTCAACCTTTCTTCCTATAGAGCAGTTATTAAACAGTCTCTTTGTAGAATTTGCAAGGGTGTATTTAGAGGGCATTGAAGCCTACGGTAGAAAAGGAAATATCTTACCATAAAATCTAGTCAGAAGCATTCTCAGCAACTGAGTTGTGATGTTTCCATTCAACTCACAGAGTTCAACATTCCTTTTAATGGAGCGGTTTTGAAACACTCTTTTTGCAGAATCTGCAAGTGGATATTTGGACCTGCTTTGAGGCCTTCGTTGGAAACGGGATTTCTTCATGTAATGCCAGACAGAAGAATTCTCAGTGAATTCTTTCTGTGTGTGTGTATTCAACTCACAGAGTTGAACGTTCCTTTAGACAGAGTAGATTGGAAACACTCTTTTTGTGGAATTTTCAGGTGGAGGTATCAAGCGCTTTGAGGCCAATGATAGAAAAGGAAATACCTTCGTATAATAATTAGACGGAATCATTCTCAGAAACTGCTTTGCAATGTGTGCGTTCAACTCACAGTGTTTAACCTTTCTTTTCATACAGTTGTTTCGAAACACTCTTTTTGCAGAATCTGCAAGTGGATATTTGGACCTCTTTGAAGTCTTCGTTGGAAATGGGATTTCTTCATATAATGCTAGACAGAAGACTTCTCAGTAACTGGTTTTTCTGGTGTGTATTCAACTCTCAGAGTTGAACTTTCCTTTAGAAACAGCAGATATGAAACTCTCTTTTTGTGGAATTTGCAAGTGGAGATTTCAAAGCATTGAGGCCAATGGTAGAAAAGGAAATATCTTCGTATGCCAACTAGACAGAATCATTCTCAGAAACTACTTTGGTACGTGTGTGTTCAACTCACAGTGTTTAACCTTTCTTTTCATAGAGCAGTTTGGAAACACTCAGTTTGTAAAGTCAGCAACTGGATATTTGGATGTATTTGAGGCCTTCGTTGGAAACGGGATTTCTTCATATAATGCTAGACAGAAGAATTCTCAGTAACTTCTTTGGGTTGTGGGTATTCAAGTCACAGAGTTGAAGCTTCCTTTAGGCGGAGCAGATTGGAAACACTTTTTGTGGAATTTTCAGGGGGAGACTTCAAGCGCTTTGAAGTGAATGGTAGGAAAGGAAATATCTTCGTATAAAAACTAGACGGAGTCATTCTCAGAAACTACTTTGTGATGTTTGCGTTCAACTCACAGAGTTTAACGTTTCTTTTCATAGAGCAGTTTGGAAACACTCTTTTTGCAGAATCTGCAAGTGGATATTTGGACCTCTTTGTGGCCTTCGTTGGAAACGGGATTTTTCATATAATGCTAGACAGAAGAATTCTCAGTAACTTCTTTTTGTGGTGTGTATTCAACTCACAGAGTTGAACCTTCCTTTAGACAGAGCAGATTTGAAACTCTCTTTTTGTGGAATTTGCAAGTGGAGATTTCAAGCGCTTTGAGGCCAACGGTAGAAAAGGAAATATCTTCGTAGAAAAAATAGACGGAATCATTCTCAGAAACTGCTTTGGGATGTGTGCATTGAACTCACAGTGTTTAACACTTCTTTTCATAGAGCACTTTGGAAACACTCAGTTTGTAATGTCTGCAGCTGGATATTTGGACCTCTTTGAGGCCTTCGTAGTAAACGGGATTTCTTCGTGTAATGATAGACAATAGAATTCTCAGTGAATTTTTTTCTGTGTGTGTGTATTCAACTCACAGGGTTGAACCTTCCTTTAGACAGTGCAGATTTGAAACACTTGTCTGTGGAATTTGCAAGGGGAGATTTCAAGCACTTTGAGGCCATTGGTGGAAAAGGAAATATCTTCGTATAAAAACTAGACAGAATCATTCTCAGGAACTACTTTGTGATATGTGCATTCAACTCACAGAGTTTAACCTTTCTTTTCATAGATGAGTTTGGAAACAGTCAGTTTGTAAATTCTGCAACTGGATATTTGGACCTCTTTGAGGCTTTCGTTGGAAACGGGATTTCTTCACATAATGCTAGACAGTAGAATTCTCAGTAACTTCTTTTGGGATGTATGTATTCAAATCAGAGAGTTGAACCTTCCTTTAGACAGAGCGGATTGGAAACACTCTTTTTGTGGAATTTGCAAGTGGAAAATTCTAGCAGTATGAGGCCAATGGTACAAAAGGAAATATCTTCGTATAAAAACTAGACAGTATCATTCTCAGAAACTGCTTTGTGATGTGTGAATTAAACTCACAGAGTTGAACATTTCTTTGCATAGAGCAGTTTGGAAAGACTTAGTTTTTGCAGTGTGCAAGTGGATATTTGGAACTCTTTGAGGCCTTCGTTGGAAACGGGATTTCTTCTTATAATTCTTGACAAAAGAATTCTCAGTAGCTTCTTTGTGTGTGTGTATTCAACTCACAGAGTTGAACCTTCCTTTAGACAGAGCAGATTGGAAACACACTTTTTGTGGAATTTGCAAGTGGAGAATTCTAGCGCTTTGACGCCAATGGTAGAAAGGAAATATCTTCGTATAAAAACTAGACAGTATCATTCTCAGAAGCTACTTTGTGATGTGTGCGTTCAACTCACAGAGTTTAACCTTTCTTTTCATAGAGCAGTTTGGAAACCCTCTGTTTGTGAAGTCTGCAAGTGGATATTTAAACGTCTTTGAGGCCTTCGTTGGAAACGGGATTTTTTCATATAAACCAGGACAGAAGAATTCTCAGAAACTTCTTGATTGTTATGTGTGCATTCAACTCACAGAGTTGAACCTTACTTTGGAAAGAGCAGTTTTCTAACACTCTTTTTGTAAAAGTTCCAAGTGAATACTTTGAGTGCTTTGAAGCCTACGGTTGACAACGAAATATCTTCATGTAAAAACTACAAAGAATCATTCGCAGAAACCACGTTGTGATCTCTGCATTCAACTCACAGAGTTCAACCTTTCTTCCTATAGAGCAGTTATGAAACAGTCTCTTTCTAGAATTTGCAAGGGTGTATTTAGAGGGCATTGAAGCCTACGGTAGAAAAGGAAATATCTTACCATAAAATCTAGTCAGAAGCATTCTCAGAAACTGAGTTGTGATGTTTGCATTCAACTCACAGAGTTCAACATTCCTTTTAATGGAGCGGTTTTGAAACACTCTTTTTGCAGAATCTGCAAGTGGATATTTGGACCTCTTTGAGGCCTTCGTTGGAAACGGGATTTCTTCATGTAATGCCAGACAGAAGAATTCTCAGTGAATTCTTTCTGTGTGTGTGTATTCAACTCACGGAGTTGAACGTTCCTTTAGACAGAGTAGATTGGAAACACTCTTTTTGTGGAATTTTCAGGTGGAGGTATCAAGCGCTTTGAGGCCAATGATAGAAAAGGAAATACCTTCGTATAATAATTAGACGGAATCATTCTCAGAAACCGCTTTGCAATGTGTGCGTTCAACTCACAGTGTTTAACCTTTCTTTTCATACAGTTGTTTCGAAACACTCTTTTTGCAGAATCTGCAAGTGGATATTTGGACCTCTTTGAAGTCTTCGTTGGAAATGGGATTTCTTCATATAATGCTAGACAGAAGACTTCTCAGTAACTGCTTTTTCTGGTGTGTATTCAACTCTCAGAGTTGAACTTTCCTTTAGAAACAGCAGATTTGAAACTCTCTTTTTGTGGAATTTGCAAGTGGAGATTTCAGAGCTTTGAGGCCAATGGTAGAAAAGGAAATATCTTCGTATGCAAACTAGACAGAATCATTCTCAGAAACTACTTTGGTACGTGTGTGTTCAACTCACAGTGTTTAACCTTTCTTTTCATAGAGCAGTTTGGAAACACTCAGTTTGTAAAGTCAGCAACTGGATATTTGGATGTATTTGAGGCCTTCGTTGGAAACGGGATTTCTTCATGTAATGCTAGACAGAAGAATTCTCAGTAACTTCTTTGGGTTGTGGGTATTCAACTCACAGAGTTGAAGCTTCCTTTAGGCGGAGCAGATTGGAAACACTTTTTGTGGAATTTTCAGGGTGAGACTTCAAGCGCTTTGAAGTGAATGGTAGGAAAGGAAATATCTTCGTATAAAAACTAGACGGAGTCATTCTCAGAAACTACTTTGTGATGTTTGCGTTCAACTCACAGAGTTTAACGTTTCTTTTCATAGAGCAGTTTGGAAACACTCTTTTTGCAGAATCTGCAAGTGGATATTTGGACCTCTTTGTGGCCTTCGTTGGAAACGGGATTTTTCATATAATGCTAGACAGAAGAATTCTCAGTAACTTCTTTTTGTGGTGTGTATTCAACTCACAGAGTTGAACCTTCCTTTAGACAGAGCAGATTTGAAACTCTCTTTTTGTGGAATTTGCAAGTGGAGATTTCAAGCGCTTTGAGGCCAACGGTAGAAAAGGAAATATCTTCGTAGAAAAAATAGACGGAATCATTCTCAGAAACTGCTTTGGGATGTGTGCATTGAACTCACAGTGTTTAACACTTCTTTTCATAGAGCACTTTGGAAACACTCAGTTTGTAATGTCTGCAGCTGGATATTTGGACCTCTTTGAGGCCTTCGTAGTAAACGGGATTTCTTCGTGTAATGATAGACAATAGAATTCTCAGTGAATTTTTTTCTGTGTGTGTGTATTCAACTCACAGGGTTGAACCTTCCTTTAGACAGTGCAGATTTGAAACACTTGTCTGTGGAATTTGCAAGGGGAGATTTCAAGCACTTTGAGGCCATTGGTGGAAAAGGAAATATCTTCGTATAAAAACTAGACAGAATCATTCTCAGGAACTACTTTGTGATATGTGCATTCAACTCACAGGGTTTAACCTTTCTTTTCATAGATGAGTTTGGAAACAGTCAGTTTGTAAATTCTGCAACTGGATATTAGGACCTCTTTGAGGCTTTCGTTGGAAACGGGATTTCTTCACATAATGCTAGACAGAAGAATTCGCAGTAACTTCTTTTGGGATGTATGTATTCAACTCAGAGAGTTGAACCTTCCTTTAGACAGAGCGCATTGGAAACAAGCTTTTTGCGGAATTTTCAGGTGGAGATTCCAAGAGCCTTGAGGCCAATGGTAGAAAAGGCTATCTTCGTATGAAAACTAGAGGGAATCATTCTCAGAAACTGCTTTCTGATGTGTGCATTAAACTCACAGGGTTGAACATTTCTTTGCATAGAGCAGTTTAGAAAGACTTAGTTTGTACAGTGTGCAAGTGGATATTTGGAACTCTTTGTGGCCTTCGTTGGAAACGGGATTTCTTCTTATAATTCTTGACAAAAGAATTCTCAGTAGCTTCTTTGTGTGTGTGTATTCAACTCACAGAGTTGAACCTTCCTTTAGACAGAGCAGATTGGAAACACTCTTTTTGTGGAATTTGCAAGTGGAGAATTCTAGCGCTTTGACGCAAATGGAAGGAAAGGAAATATCTCCGTATAAAAACTAGACAGTATCATTCTCAGAAGCTACTTTGTGATGTGTGCGTTCAACTCACAGAGTTTAACCTTTCTTTTCATAGAGCAGTTTGGAAACCCTCTGTTTGTGAAGTCTGCAAGTGGATATTTAAACGTCTTTGAGGCCTTCGTTGGAAACGGGATTTTTTCATATAAACCAGGACAGAAGAATCCTCAGAAACTTCTTGTTTGTTATGTGTGCATTCAACTCACAGAGTTGAACCTTACTTTGGAAAGAGCAGTTTCCTAACACTCTTTTTGTAAAAGTTCCAAGTGAATACTTTGAGTGCTTTGAAGCCTACAGTAGACAACGAAATATCTTCATGTAAAAACTACAAAGAATCATTCGCAGAAACCACGTTGTGATCTCTGCATTCAACTCACAGTGTTCAACCTTTCTTCCTATAGAGCAGTTATTAAACAGTCTCTTTGTAGAATTTGCAAGGGTGTATTTAGAGGGCATTGAAGCCTACGGTAGAAAAGGAAATATCTGACCATAAAATCTAGTCAGAAGCATTCTCAGAAACTGTGTTGTGATGTTTGCATTCAACTCACAGAGTTCCACATTCCTTTTAATAGAGCGGTATTGAAACACTCTTTTTGCAGAAACTGCAAGTGTATATTTGGACCTCTTTGAGGCCTTCGTTGGAAACGGGATTTCTTCATGTAATGCCAGACAGAAGAATTCTCAGTGAATTCTTTCTGTGTGTGTGTATTCAACTCACAGAGTTGAACGTTCCTTTAGACAGAGTAGATTGGAAACACTCTTTTTGTGGAATTTTCAGGTGGAGGTATCAAGCGCTTTGAGGCCCATGATAGAAAAGGAAATACCTTCGTATAATAATTAGACGGAATCATTCTCAGAAACTGCTTTGCAATGTGTGCGTTCAACTCACAGTGTTTAACCTTTCTTTTCATACAGTTGTTTCGAAACACTCTTTTTGCAGAATCTGCAAGTGGATATTCGGACCTCTTTGAAGTCTTCGTTGGAAATGGGATTTCTTCACATAATGCTAGACAGAAGACTTCTCAGTAACTGCTTTTTCTGGTGTGTATTCAACTCTCAGAGTTGAACTTTCCTTTAGAAACAGCAGATTTGAAACTCTCTTTTTGTGGAATTTGCAAGTGGAGATTTCAGAGCTTTGAGGCCAATGGTAGAAAAGGAAATATCTTCGTATGCAAACTAGACAGAATCATTCTCAGAAACTACTTTGGTACGTGTGTGTTCAACTCACAGTGTTTAACCTTTCTTTTCATAGAGCAGTTTGGAAACACTCAGTTTGTAAAGTCAGCAACTGGATATTTGGATGTATTTGAGGCCTTCGTTGGAAACGGGATTTCTTCATATAATGCTAGACAGAAGAATTCTCAGTAACTTCTTTGGGTTGTGGGTATTCAACTCACAGAGTTGAAGCTTCCTTTAGGCGGAGCAGATTGGAAACACTTTTTGTGGAATTTTCAGGGGGAGACTTCAAGCGCTTTGAAGTGAATGGTAGGAAAGGAAATATCTTCGTATAAAAACTAGACGGAGTCATTCTCAGAAACTACTTTGTGATGTTTGCGTTCAACTCACAGAGTTTAACGTTTCTTTTCATAGAGCAGTTTGGAAACACTCTTTTTGCAGAATCTGCAAGTGGATATTTGGACCTCTTTGTGGCCTTCGTTGGAAACGGGATTTTTCATATAATGCTAGACAGAAGAATTCTCAGTAACTTCTTTTTGTGGTGTGTATTCAACTCACAGAGTTGAACCTTCCTTTAGACAGAGCAGATTTGAAACTCTCTTTTTGTGGAATTTGCAAGTGGAGATTTCAAGCGCTTTGAGGCCAACGGCAGAAAAGGAAATATCTTCGTAGAAAAAATAGACGGAATCATTCTCAGAAACTGCTTTGGGATGTGTGCATTGAACTCACAGTGTTTAACACTTCTTTTCATAGAGCACTTTGGAAACACTCAGTTTATAATGTCTGCAGCTGGATATTTGGACCTCTTTGAGGCCTTCGTAGTAAACGGGATTTCTTCGTGTAATGATAGACAATAGAATTCTCAGTGAATTTTTTTCTGTGTGTGTGTATTCAACTCACAGGGTTGAACCTTCCTTCAGACAGTGCAGATTTGAAACACTTTTCTGTGGAATTTGCAAGGGGAGATTTCAAGCACTTTGAGGCCATTGGTGGAAAAGGAAATATCTTCGTATAAAAACTAGACAGAATCATTCTCAGGAACTACTTTGTGATATGTGCATTCAACTCCCAGAGTTTAACCTTTCTTTTCATAGATGAGTTTGGAAACAGTCAGTTTGTAAATTCTGCAACTGGATATTTGGACCTCTTTGAGGCTTTCGTTGGAAACGGGATTTCTTCACATAATGCTAGACAGAAGAATTCGCAGTAACTTCTTTTGGGATGTATGTATTCAACTCAGAGAGTTGAACCTTCCTTTAGACAGAGCGGATTGGAAACACGCTTTTTGCGGAATTTTCAGGTGGAGATTTCAAGAGCCTTGAGGCCAATGGTAGAAAAGGCTAACTTCGTATAAAAACTAGACGGATATCATTCTCAGTAAACTGCTTTGTGATGTGTGTATTAAACTCACAGAGTTGAACATTTCTTTGCATAGAGCAGTTTGGAAAGACTTAGTTTGTGCAGTGTGCAAGTGGATATTTGGAACTCTTTGAGGCCTTCGTTGGAAACGGGATTTCTTCTTATAATTCTTGACAAAAGAATTCTCAGTAGCTTCTTTGTGTGTGTGTGTATTCAACTCACAGAGTTGAACCTTCCTTTAGACAGAGCAGATTGGAAACACTCTTTTTGTGGAATTTGCAAGTGGAGAATTCTAGCGATTTGAGGCCAGGGGTACAAAAGGAAATATCTTCGTATAAAAACTAGACAGTATCATTCTCAGAAACTACTTTGTGATGTGTGCGTTCAACTCAAAGTGTTTACCCTTTCTTTTCATAGAGCAGTTTGGAAACACTCTGTTTGTGAAGTCTGCAAGTGGATATTTAAACGTCTTTGAGGCCTTCGTTGGAAACGGGATTTCTTCATATAAACCAGGACAGAAGAATTCTCAGAAACTTCTTGTTTGTTATGTGTGCATTCAAATCACAGAGTTGAACCTTACTTTGGAAAGAGCATTTTTCTAACACTCTTTTTGTGAAAGTTCCATGTGAATACTTTGAGTGCTTTGAAGCCTACGGTAGACAACGAAATATCTTCATGTAAAAACTACAAAGAATCATTCGCAGAAACCACGTTGTGATCTCTGCATTCAACTCACAGAGTTGAACCTTTCCTCCTATAGAGCAGTTATGAAACAGTCTCTTTGTAGAATTTGCAAGGGTGTATTTACAGGGCATTGAAGCCTACGGTAGAAAAGGAAATATCTTGCCATAAAATCTAGTCAGAAGCATTCTCAGAAACTGAGTTGTGATGTTTGCATTCAACTCACAGAGTTCAACATTCCTTTTAATGGAGCGGTTTTGAAACACTCTTTTTGCAGAATCTGCAAGTGGATATTTGGACCTCTTTGAGGCCTTCGTTGGAAACGGGATTTCTTCATGTAATGCCAGACAGAAGAATTCTCAGTGAATTCTTTCTGTGTGTGTGTATTCAACTCACAGAGTTGAACGTTCCTTTAGACAGAGTAGATTGGAAACACTGTTTTTGTGGAATTTTCAGGTGGAGGTATCAAGCGCTTTGAGGCCAATGATAGAAAAGGAAATACCTTCGTATAATAATTAGACGGAATCATTCTCAGAAACTGCTTTGCAATGTGTGCGTTCAACTCACAGTGTTTAACCTTTCTTTTCATACAGTTGTTTCGAAACACTCTTTTTGCAGAATCTGCAAGTGGATATTTGGACCTCTTTGAAGTCTTCGTTGGAAATGGGATTTCTTCATATAATGCTAGACAGAAGACTTCTCAGTAACTGCTTTTTCTGGTGTGTATTCAACTCTCAGAGTTGAACTTTCCTTTAGAAACAGCAGATTTGAAACTCTCTTTTTGTGGAATTTGCAAGTGGAGATTTCAGAGCTTTGAGGCCAATGGTAGAAAAGGAAATATCTTCGTATGCAAACTAGACAGAATCATTCTCAGAAACTACTTTGGTACGTGTGTGTTCAACTCACAGTGTTTAACCTTTCTTTTCATAGAGCAGTTTGGAAACACTCAGTTTGTAAAGTCAGCAACTGGATATTTGGATGTATTTGAGGCCTTCGTTGGAAACGGGATTTCTTCATATAATGCTAGACAGAAGAATTCTCAGTAACTTCTTTGGGTTGTGGGTATTCAAGTCACAGAGTTGAAGCTTCCTTTAGGCGGAGCAGATTGGAAACACTTTTTGTGGAATTTTCAGGGGGAGACTTCAAGCGCTTTGAAGTGAATGGTAGGAAAGGAAATATCTTCGTATAAAAACTAGACGGAGTCATTCTCAGAAACTACTTTGTGATGTTTGCGTTCAACTCACAGAGTTTAACGTTTCTTTTCATAGAGCAGTTTGGAAACACTCTTTTTGCAGAATCTGCAAGTGGATATTTGGACCTCTTTGTGGCCTTCGTTGGAAACGGGATTTTTCATATAATGCTAGACAGAAGAATTCTCAGTAACTTCTTTTTGTGGTGTGTATTCAACTCACAGAGTTGAACCTTCCTTTAGACAGAGCAGATTTGAAACTCTCTTTTTGTGGAATTTGCAAGTGGAGATTTCAAGCGCTTTGAGGCCAACGGTAGAAAAGGAAATATCTTCGTAGAAAAAATAGACGGAATCATTCTCAGAAACTGCTTTGGGATGTGTGCATTGAACTCACAGTGTTTAACACTTCTTTTCATAGAGCACTTTGGAAACACTCAGTTTGAAATGTCTGCAGCTGGATATTTGGACCTCTTTGAGGCCTTCGTAGTAAACGGGATTTCTTCGTGTAATGATAGACAATAGAATTCTCAGTGAATTTGTTTCTGTGTGTGTGTATTCAACTCACAGGGTTGAACCTTCCTTTAGACAGTGCAGATTTGAAACACTTGTCTGTGGAATTTGCAAGGGGAGATTTCAAGCACTTTGAGGCCATTGGTGGAAAAGGAAATATCTTCGTAAAAAAACTAGACAGAATCATTCTCAGGAACTACTTTGTGATATGTGCATTCAACTCACAGAGTTTAACCTTTCTTTTCATAGATGAGTTTGGAAACAGTCAGTTTGTAAATTCTGCAACTGGATATTTGGACCTCTTTGAGGCTTTCGTTGGAAACGGGATTTCTTCACATAATGCTAGACAGAAGAATTCTCAGTAACTTCTTTTGGGATGTATGTATTCAAATCAGAGAGTTGAACCTTCCTTTAGACAGAGCGGATTGGAAACACTCTTTTTGTGGAATTTGCAAGTGGAAAATTCTAGCAGTATGAGGCCAATGGTACAAAAGGAAATATCTTCGTATAAAAACTAGACAGTATCATTCTCAGAAACTGCTTTGTGATGTGTGTATTAAACTCACAGAGTTGAACATTTCTTTGCATAGAGCAGTTTGGAAAGACTTAGTTTGTGCAGTGTGCAAGTGGATATTTGGAACTCTTTGAGGCCTTCGTTGGAAACGGGATTTCTTCTTATAATTCTTGACAAAAGAATTCTCAGTAGCTTCTTTGTGTGTGTGTATTCAACTCACAGAGTTGAACCTTCCTTTAGACAGAGCAGATTGGAAACACTCTTTTTGTGGAATTTGCAAGTGGAGAATTCTAGCGCTTTGACGCCAATGGTAGAAAGGAAATATCTTCGTATAAAAACTAGACAGTATCATTCTCAGAAACTGCTTTGTGATGTGTGTATTAAACTCACAGAGTTTAACCTTTCTTTTCATAGAGCAGTTTGGAAACCCTCTGTTTGTGAAGTCTGCAAGTGGATATTTAAACGTGTTTGAGGCCTTCGTTGGAAACGGGATTTTTTCATATAAACCAGGACAGAAGAATTCTCAGAAACTTCTTGTTTGTTATGTGTGCATTCAACTCACAGAGTTGAACCTTACTTTGGAAAGAGCAGTTTTCTAACACTCATTTGTAAAAGTTCCAAGTGAATACTTTGAGTGCTTTGAAGCGCTACGGTAGACAACGAAATATCTTCATGTAAAAACTACAAAGAATCATTCGCAGAAACCACGTTGTGATCTCTGCATTCAACTCACAGAGTTGAACCTTTCTTCCTATAGAGCAGTTATGAAACAGTCTCTTTGTAGAATTTGCAAGGGTGTATTTAGAGGGCATTGAAGCCTACGGTAGAAAAGGAAATATCTTACCATAAAATCTAGTCAGAAGCATTCTCAGCAACTGAGTTGTGATGTTTGCATTCAACTCACAGAGTTCAACATTCCTTTTAATGGAGCGGTTTTGAAACACTCTTTTTGCAGAATCTGCAAGTGGATATTTGGACCTCTTTGAGGTCTTCGTTGGAAACGGGATTTCTTCATGTAATGCCAGACAGAAGAATTCTCAGTGAATTCTTTCTGTGTGTGTGTATTCAACTCACAGCAGTTGAACGTTCCTTTAGACAGAGTAGATTGGAAACACTCTTTTTGTGGAATTTTCAGGTGGAGGTATCAAGCGCTTTGAGGCCAATGATAGAAAAGGAAATACCTTCGTATAATAATTAGACGGAATCATTCTCAGAAACCGCTTTGCAATGTGTGCGTTCAACTCACAGTGTTTAACCTTTCTTTTCATACAGTTGTTTCGAAACACTCTTTTTGCAGAATCTGCAAGTGGATATTTGGACCTCTTTGAAGTCTTCGTTGGAAATGGGATTTCTTCATATAATGCTAGACAGAAGACTTCTCAGTAACTGCTTTTTCTGGTGTGTATTCAACTCTCAGAGTTGAACTTTCCTTTAGAAACAGCAGATTTGAAACTCTCTTTTTGTGGAATTTGCAAGTGGAGATTTCAGAGCTTTGAGGCCAATGGTAGAAAAGGAAATATCTTCGTATGCAAACTAGACAGAATCATTCTCAGAAACTACTTTGGTACGTGTGTGTTCAACTCACAGTGTTTAACCTTTCTTTTCATAGAGCAGTTTGGAAACACTCAGTTTGTAAAGTCAGCAACTGGATATTTGGATGTATTTGAGGCCTTCGTTGGAAACGGGATTTCTTCATATAATGCTAGACAGAAGAATTCTCAGTAACTTCTTTGGGTTGTGGGTATTCAACTCACAGAGCTGAAGCTTCCTTTAGGCGGAGCAGATTGGAAACACTTGTTGTGGAATTTTCAGGGGGAGACTTCAAGCGCTTTGAGGCCAACGGTAGAAAAGGAAATATCTTCGTATAAAAACTAGACGGAGTCATTCTCAGAAACTACTTTGTGATGTTTGCGTTCAACTCACAGAGTTTAACGTTTCTTTTCATAGAGCAGTTTGGAAACACTCTTTTTGCAGAATCTGCAAGTGGATATTTGGACCTCTTTGTGGCCTTCGTTGGAAACTGGATTTTTCATATAATGCTAGACAGAGAATTCTCAGTAACTTCTTTTTGTGGTGTGTATTCAACTCACAGAGTTGAACCTTCCTTTAGACAGAGCAGATTTGAAACTCTCTTTTTGTGGAATTTGCAAGTGGAGATTTCAAGCGCTTTGAGGCCAACGGCAGAAAAGGAAATATCTTCGTAGAAAAAATAGACGGAATCATTCTCAGAAACTGCTTTGGGATGTGTGCATTGAACTCACAGTGTTTAACACTTCTTTTCATAGAGCACTTTGGAAACACTCAGTTTGTAATGTCTGCAGCTGGATATTTGGACCTCTTTGAGGCCTTCGTAGTAAACGGGATTTCTTCGTGTAATGATAGACAATAGAATTCTCAGTGAATTTTTTTCTGTGTGTGTGTATTCAACTCACAGGGTTGAACCTTCCTTTAGACAGTGCAGATTTGAAACACTTGTCTGTGGAATTTGCAAGGGGAGATTTCAAGCACTTTGAGGCCATTGGTGGAAAAGGAAATATCTTCGTATGAAAACTAGACAGAATCATTCTCAGGAACTACTTTGTGATATGTGCATTCAACTCCCAGAGTTTAACCTTTCTTTTCATAGATGAGTTTGGAAACAGTCAGTTTGTAAATTCTGCAACTGGATATTTGGACCTCTTTGAGGCTTTCGTTGGAAACGGGATTTCTTCACATAATGCTAGACAGAAGAATTCTCAGGAACTTCTTTTGGGATGTATGTATTCAAATCAGAGAGTTGAACCTTCCTTTAGACAGAGCGGATTGGAAACACTCTTTTTGTGGAATTTGCAAGTGGAAAATTCTAGCAGTATGAGGCCAATGGTACAAAAGGAAATATCTTCGTATAAAAACTAGACAGTATCATTCTCAGAAACTGCTTTGTGATGTGTGTATTAAACTCACAGAGTTGAACATTTCTTTGCATAGAGCAGTTTGGAAAGACTTAGTTTGTGCAGTGTGCAAGTGGATATTTGGAACTCTTTGAGGCCTTCGTTGGAAACGGGATTTCTTCTTATAATTCTTGACAAAAGAATTCTCAGTAGCTTCTTTGTGTGTGTGTATTCAACTCACAGAGTTGAACCTTCCTTTAGACAGAGCAGATTGGAAACACTCTTTTTGTGGAATTTGCAAGTGGAGAATTCTAGCGCTTTGACGCCAATGGTAGAAAGGAAATATCTTCGTATAAAAACTAGACAGTATCATTCTCAGAAACTACTTTGTGAGGTGTGCGTTCAACTCACAGTGTTTACCCTTTCTTTTCATAGAGCAGTTTGGAAACACTCTGTTTGTGAAGTCTGCAAGTGGATATTTAAACGTCTTTGAGGCCTTCGTTGGAAACGGGATTTCTTCATATAAACCAGGACAGAAGAACTCTCAGAAACTTCTTGTTTGTTATGTGTGCATTCAACTCACAGAGTTGAACCTTACTTTGGAAAGAGCAGTTTTCTAACACTCTTTTTGTAAAAGTTCCAAGTGAATACTTTGAGTGCTTTGAAGCCTTACGGTAGACAACGAAATATCTTCATGTAAAAACTACAAAGAATCATTCGCAGAAACCACGTTGTGATCTCTGCATTCAACTCACAGAGTTGAACCTTTCCTCCTATAGAGCAGTTATGAAACAGTCTCTTTGTTGAATTTGCAAGGGTGTATTTACAGGGCATTGAAGCCTACGGTAGAAAAGGAAATATCTTACCATAAAATGTAGTCAGAAGCATTCTCAGAAACTGAGTTGTGATGTTTGCATTCAACTCACAGAGTTCAACATTCCTTTTAATGGAGCGGTTTTGAAACACTGTTTTTGCAGAATCTGCAAGTGGATATTTGGACCTCTTTGAGGCCTTCGTTGGAAACGGGATTTCTTCATGTAATGCCAGACAGAAGAACTCTCAGTGAATTCTTTCTGTGTGTGTGTATTCAACTCACAGAGTTGAACGTTCCTTTAGACAGAGTAGATTGGAAACACTCTTTTTGTGGAATTTTCAGGTGGAGGTATCAAGGGCTTTGAGGCCCATGATAGAAAAGGAAATACCTTCGTATAATAATTAGACGGAATCATTCTCAGAAACTGCTTTGCAATGTGTGCCTTCAACTCACAGCGTTTAACCTTTCTTTTCATACAGTTGTTTCGATACACTCTTTTTGCAGAACCTGCAAGTGGATATTTGGACCTCTTTGAAGTCTTCGTTGGAAATGGGATTTCTTCATATAATGCTAGACAGAAGACTTCTCAGTAACTGCTTTTTCTGGTGTGTATTCAACTCTCAGAGTTGAACTTTCCTTTAGAAACAGCAGATTTGAAACTCTCTTTTTGTGGAATTTGCAAGTGGAGATTTCAAAGCTTTGAGGCCAATGGTAGAAAAGGAAATATCTTCGTATGCAAACTAGACAGAATCATTCTCAGAAACTACTTTGGTACGTGTGTGTTCAACTCACAGTGTTTAACCTTTCCTTTCATAGAGCAGTTTGGAAACACTCATTTTGTAAAGTCAGCAACTGGATATCTGGATGTATTTGAGGCCTTCGTTGGAAACGGGATTTCTTCATGTAATGCTAGACAGAAGAATTCTCAGTAACTTCTTTGGGTTGTGGGTATTCAACTCACAGAGTTGAAGCTTCCTTTAGGCGGAGCAGATTGGAAACACTTTTTGTGGAATTTTCAGGGGGAGACTTCAAGCGCTCTGAGGCCAATGGTAGAAAAGGAAATATCTTCGTATAAAACTAGACGGAGTCATTCTCAGAAACTACTTTGTGATGTTTGCGTTCAACTCACAGAGTTTAACGTTTCTTTTCATAGAGCAGTTTGGAAACACTCTTTTTGCAGAATCTGCAAGTGGATATTTGGACCTCTTTGTGGCCTTCGTTGGAAACGGGATTTTTCATATAATGCAAGACAGAAAAATTCTCAGTAACTTCTTTTTGTGGTGTGTATTCAACTCACAGAGTTGAACCTTCCTTTAGACAGAGCAGATTTGAAACTCTCTTTTCGTGGAATTTGCAAGTGGAGATTTCAAGCGCTTTGAGGCCAACGGTAGAAAAGGAAATATCTTCGTAGAAAAAATAGACGGAATCATTCTCAGAAACTGCTTTGGGATGTGTGCATTGAACTCACAGTGTTTAACACTTCTTTTCATAGAGCACTTTGGAAACAGTCAGTTTGGAATGTCTGCAGCTGGATATTTGGACCTCTTTGAGGCCTTCGTAGTAAACGGGATTTCTTCGGGTAATGATAGACAATAGAATTCTCAGTGAATTTTTTTCTGTGTGTGTGTATTCAACTCACAGGGTTGAACCTTCCTTTAGACAGTGCAGATTTGAAACACTTGTCTGTGGAATTTGCAAGGGGAGATTTCAAGCACTTTGAGGCCATTGGTGGAAAAGGAAATATCTTCGTATGAAAACTAGACAGAATCATTCTCAGGAACTACTTTGTGATATGGGCATTCAACTCCCAGAGTTTAACCTTTCTTTTCATAGATGAGTTTGGAAACAGTCAGTTTGTAAATTCTGCAACTGGATATTTGGACCTCTTTGAGGCTTTCGTTGGAAACGGGATTTCTTCACATAATGCTAGATAGAAGAATTCTCAGTAACTTCTTTTGGGATGTATGTATTCAAATCAGAGAGTTGAACCTTCCTTTAGACAGAGCGGATTGGAAACACTCTTTTTGTGGAATTTGCAAGTGGAAAATTCTAGCAGTATGAGGCCAATGGTACAAAAGGAAATATCTTCGTATAAAAACTAGACAGTATCATTCTCAGAAACTGCTTTGTGATGTGTGTATTAAACTCACAGAGTTGAACATTTCTTTGCATAGAGCAGTTTGGAAAGACTTAGTTTGTGCAGTGTGCAAGTGGATATTTGGAACTCTTTGAGGCCTTCGTTGGAAACGGGATTTCTTCTTATAATTCTTGACAAAAGAATTCTCAGTAGCTTCTTTGTGTGTGTGTATTCAACTCACAGAGTTGAACCTTCCTTTAGACAGAGCAGATTGGAAACACTCTTTTTGTGGAATTTGCAAGTGGAGAATTCTAGCGCTTTGACGCCAATGGTAGAAAGGAAATATCTTCGTATAAAAACTAGACAGTATCATTCTCAGAAACTACTTTGTGATGTGTGCGTTCAACTCACAGAGTTTAACCTTTCTTTTCATAGAGCAGTTTGGAAACACTCTGTTTGTGAAGTCTGCAAGTGGATATTTAAACGTCTTTGAGGCCTTCGTTGGAAACGGGATTTTTTCCTATAAACCAGGACAGAAGAATTCTCAGAAACTTCTTGATTGTTATGTGTGCATTCAACTCACAGAGTTGAACCTTACTTTGGAAAGAGCAGTTTTCTAACACTCTTTTTGTAAAAGTTCCAAGTGAATACTTTGAGTGCTTTGAAGCCTACGGTTGACAACGAAATATCTTCATGTAAAAACTACAAAGAATCATTCGCAGAAACCACGTTGTGATCTCTGCATTCAACTCACAGAGTTCAACCTTTCTTCCTATAGAGCAGTTATGAAACAGTCTCTTTGTAGAATTTGCAAGGGTGTATTTAGAGGGCATTGAAGCCTACGGTAGAAAAGGAAATATCTTACCATAAAATCTAGTCAGAAGCATTCTCAGAAACTGAGTTGTGATGTTTGCATTCAACTCACAGAGTTCAACATTCCTTTTAATGGAGCGGTTTTGAAACACTCTTTTTGCAGAATCTGCAAGTGGATATTTGGACCTCTTTGAGGCCTTCGTTGGAAACGGGATTTCTTCATGTAATGCCAGACAGAAGAATTCTCAGTGAATTCTTTCTGTGTGTGTGTATTCAACTCACAGAGTTGAACGTTCCTTTAGACAGAGTAGATTGGAAACACTCTTTTTGTGGAATTTTCAGGTGGAGGTATCAAGCGCTTTGAGGCCAATGATAGAAAAGGAAATACCTTCGTATAATAATTAGACGGAATCATTCTCAGAAACTGCTCTGCAATGTGTGCGTTCAACTCACAGTGTTTAACCTTTCTTTTCATACAGTTGTTTCGAAACACTCTTTTTGCAGAATCTGCAAGTGGATATTTGGACCTCTTTGAAGTCTTCGTTGGAAATGGGATTTCTTCATATAATGCTAGACAGAAGACTTCTCAGTAACTGCTTTTTCTGGTGTGTATTCAACTCTCAGAGTTGAACTTTCCTTTAGAAACAGCAGATTTGAAACTCTCTTTTTGTGGAATTTGCAAGTGGAGATTTCAAAGCTTTGAGGCCAATGGTAGAAAAGGAAATATCTTCGTATGCAAACTAGACAGAAACATTCTCAGAAACTACTTTGGTACGTGTGTGTTCAACTCACAGTGTTTAACCTTTCCTTTCATAGAGCAGTTTGGAAACACTCAGTTTGTTAAGTCAGCAACTGGATATCTGGATGTATTTGAGGCCTTCGTTGGAAACGGGATTTCTTCTTGTAATGCTAGACAGAAGAATTCTCAGTAACTTCTTTGGGTTGTGGGTATTCAACTCACAGAGTTGAAGCTTCCTTTAGGCGGAGCAGATTGGAAACACTTTTTGTGGAATTTTCAGGGGGAGACTTCAAGCGCTTTGAAGTGAACGGTAGGAAACGAAATATCTTCGTATAAAAACTAGACGGAGTCATTCTCAGAAACTACTTTGTGATGTTTGCGTTCAACTCACAGAGTTTAACGTTTCTTTTCATAGAGCAGTTTGGAAACACTCTTTTTGCAGAATCTGCAAGTGGATATTTGGACCTCTTTGTGGCCTTCGTTGGAAACGGGATTTTTCATATAATGCTAGACAGAAGAATTCTCAGTAACTTCTTTTTGTGGTGTGTATTCAACTCACAGAGTTGAACCTTCCTTTAGACAGAGCAGATTTGAAACTCTCTTTTTGTGGAATTTGCAAGTGGAGATTTCAAGCGCTTTGAGGCCAACGGCAGAAAAGGAAATATCTTCGTAGAAAAAATAGACGGAATCATTCTCAGAAACTGCTTTGGGATGTGTGCATTGAACTCACAGTGTTTAACACTTCTTTTCATAGAGCACTTTGGAAACACTCAGTTTGTAATGTCTGCAGCTGGATATTTGGACCTCTTTGAGGCCTTCGTAGTAAACGGGATTTCTTCGTGTAATGATAGACAATAGAATTCTCAGTGAATTTTTTTCTGTGTGTGTGTATTCAACTCACAGGGTTGAACCTTCCTTTAGACAGTGCAGATTTGAGACACTTGTCTGTGGAATTTGCAAGGGGAGATTTCAAGCACTTTGAGGCCATTGGTGGAAAAGGAAATATCTTCGTATGAAAACTAGACAGAATCATTCTCAGGAACTACTTTGTGATATGTGCATTCAACTCCCAGAGTTTAACCTTTCTTTTCATAGATGAGTTTGGAAACAGTCAGTTTGTAAATTCTGCAACTGGATATTTGGACCTCTTTGAGGCTTTCGTTGGAAACGGGATTTCTTCACATAATGCTAGACAGAAGAATTCTCAGTAACTTCTTTTGGGATGTATGTATTCAAATCAGAGAGTTGAACCTTCCTTTAGACAGAGCGGATTGGAAACACTCTTTTTGTGGAATTTGCAAGTGGAAAATTCTAGCAGTATGAGGCCAATGGTACAAAAGGAAATATCTTCGTATAAAAACTAGACAGTATCATTCTCAGAAACTGCTTTGTGATGTGTGTATTAAACTCACAGAGTTGAACATTTCTTTGCATAGAGCAGTTTGGAAAGACTTAGTTTGTGCAGTGTGCAAGTGGATATTTGGAACTCTTTGAGGCCTTCGTTGGAAACGGGATTTCTTCTTATAATTCTTGACAAAGAAATTCTCAGTAGCTTCTTTGTGTGTGTGTATTCAACTCACAGAGTTGAACCTTCCTTTAGACAGAGCAGATTGGAAACACTCTTTTTGTGGAATTTGCAAGTGGAGAATTCTAGCGCTTTGACGCCAATGGTAGAAAGGAAATATCTTCGTATAAAAACTAGACAGTATCATTCTCAGAAACTACTTTGTGATGTGTGCGTTCAACTCACAGAGTTTAACCTTTCTTTTCATAGAGCAGTTTGGAAACACTCTGTTTGTGAAGTCTGCAAGTGGATATTTAAACGTCTTTGAGGCCTTCGTTGGAAACGGGATTTTTTCCTATAAACCAGGACAGAAGAATTCTCAGAAACTTCTTGATTGTTATGTGTGCATTCAACTCACAGAGTTGAACCTTACTTTGGAAAGAGCAGTTTTCTAACACTCTTTTTGTAAAAGTTCCAAGTGAATACTTTGAGTGCTTTGAAGCCTACGGTTGACAACGAAATATCTTCATGTAAAAACTACAAAGAATCATTCGCAGAAACCACGTTGTGATCTCTGCATTCAACTCACAGAGTTCAACCTTTCTTCCTATAGAGCAGTTATGAAACAGTCTCTTTGTAGAATTTGCAAGGGTGTATTTAGAGGGCATTGAAGCCTACGGTAGAAAAGGAAATATCTTACCATAAAATCTAGTCAGAAGCATTCTCAGAAACTGAGTTGTGATGTTTGCATTCAACTCACAGAGTTCAACATTCCTTTTAATGGAGCGGTTTTGAAACACTCTTTTTGCAGAATCTGCAAGTGGATATTTGGACCTCTTTGAGGCCTTCGTTGGAAACGGGATTTCTTCATGTAATGCCAGACAGAAGAACTCTCAGTGAATTCTTTCTGTGTGTGTGTATTCAACTCACAGAGTTGAACGTTCCTTTAGACAGAGTAGATTGGAAACACTCTTTTTGTGGTTTTCTCAGGTGGAGGTATCAAGCGCTTTGAGGCCCATGATAGAAAAGGAAATACCTTCGTTTAATAATTAGACGGAATCATTCTCAGAAACTGCTTAGCAATGTGTGCGTTCAACTCACAGCGTTTAACCTTTCTTTTCATACAGTTATTTCGAAACACTCATTTTGCAGAATCTGCAAGTGGATATTTGGACCTCTTTGAAGTCTTCGTTGGAAATGGGATTTCTTCATATAATGCTAGACAGAAAACTTCTCAGTAACTGCTTTTTCTGGTGTGTATTCAACTCTCAGAGTTGAACTTTCCTTTAGAAACAGCAGATTTGAAACTCTCTTTTTGTGGAATTTGCAAGTGGAGATTTCAAAGCTTTGAGGCCAATGGTAGAAAAGGAAATATCTTCGTATGCAAACTAGACAGAATCATTCTCAGAAACTACTTTGGTACGTGTGTGTTCAACTCACAGTGTTTAACCTTTCCTTTCATAGAGCAGTTTGGAAACACTCACTTTGTAAAGTCAGCAACTGGATATCTGGATGTATTTGAGGCCTTCGTTGGAAACGGGATTTCTTCATGTAATGCTAGACAGAAGAATTCTCAGTAACTTCTTTGGGTTGTGGGTATTCAAGTCACAGAGTTGAAGCTTCCTTTAGGCGGAGCAGATTGGAAACACTTTTTGTGGAATTTTCAGGGGGAGACTTCAAGCGCTTTGAAGTGAATGGTAGGAAAGGAAATATCTTCGTATAAAAACTAGACGGAGTCATTCTCAGAAACTACTTTGTGATGTTTGCGTTCAACTCACAGAGTTTAACGTTTCTTTTCATAGAGCAGTTTGGAAACACTCTTTTTGCAGAATCTGCAAGTGGATATTTGGACCTCTTTGTGGCCTTCGTTGGAAACGGGATTTTTCATATAATGCTAGACAGAAGAATTCTCAGTAACTTCTTTTTGTGGTGTGTATTCAACTCACAGAGTTGAACCTTCCTTTAGACAGAGCAGATTTGAAACTCTCTCTTTGTGGAATTTGCAAGTGGAGATTTCAAGCGCTTTGAGGCCAACGGCAGAAAAGGAAATATCTTCGTAGAAAAAATAGACGGAATCATTCTCAGAAACTGCTTTGGGATGTGTGCATTGAACTCACAGTGTTTAACACTTCTTTTCATAGAGCACTTTGGAAACACTCAGTTTGTAATGTCTGCAGCTGGATATTTGGACCTCTTTGAGGCCTTCGTAGTAAACGGGATTTCTTCGTGTAATGATAGACAATAGAATTCTCAGTGAATTTTTTTCTGTGTGTGTGTATTCAACTCACAGGGTTGAACCTTCCTTTAGACAGTGCAGATTTGAAACACTTGTCTGTGGAATTTGCAAGGGGAGATTTCAAGCACTTTGAGGCCATTGGTGGAAAAGGAAATATCTTCGTATAAAAACTAGACAGAATCATTCTCAGGAACTACTTTGTGATATGTGCATTCAACTCACAGAGTTTAACCTTTCTTTTCATAGATGAGTTTGGAAACAGTCAGTTTGTAAATTCTGCAACTGGATATTTGGACCTCTTTGAGGCTTTCGTTGGAAACGGGATTTCTTCACATAATGCTAGACAGAAGAATTCTCACTAACTTCTTTTGGGATGTATGTATTCAAATCAGAGAGTTGAACCTTCCTTTAGACAGAGCGGATTGGAAACACTCTTTTTGTGGAATTTGCAAGTGGAAAATTCTAGCAGTATGAGGCCAATGGTACAAAAGGAAATATCTTCGTATAAAAACTAGACAGTATCATTCTCAGAAACTGCTTTGTGATGTGTGTATTAAACTCACAGAGTTGAACATTTCTTTGCATAGAGCAGTTTGGAAAGACTTAGTTTGTGCAGTGTGCAAGTGGATATTTGGAACTCTTTGAGGCCTTCGTTGGAAACGGGATTTCTTCTTATAATTTCTTGAAAAAAGAATTCTCAGTAGCTTCTTTGTGTGTGTGTATTCAACTCACAGAGTTGAACCTTCCTTTAGACAGAGCAGATTGGAAACACTCTTTTTGTGGAATTTGCAAGTGGAGAATTCTAGCGCTTTGACGCCAATGGTAGAAAGGAAATATCTTCGTATAAAAACTAGACAGTATCATTCTCAGAAACTACTTTGTGATGTGTGCGTTCAACTCACAGTGTTTACCCTTTCTTTTCATAGAGCAGTTTGGAAACACTCTGTTTGTGAAGTCTGCAAGTGGATATTTAAACGTCTTTGAGGCCTTCGTTGGAAACGGGATTTCTTCCTATAAACCAGGACAGAAGAATTCTCAGAAACTTCTTGTTTGTTATGTGTGCATTCAACTCACAGAGTTGAACCTTACTTTGGAAAGAGCAGTTTTCTAACACTCTTTTTGTAAAAGTTCCAAGTGAATACTTTGAGTGCTTTGAAGCCTACGGTAGACAACGAAATATCTTCATGTAAAAACTACAAAGAATCATTCGCAGAAACCACGTTGTGATCTCTGCATTCAACTCACAGAGTTGAACCTTTCCTCCAATAGAGCAGTTATGAAACAGTCTCTTTGTAGAATTTGCAAGGGTGTATTTACAGGGCATTGAAGCCTACGGTAGAAAAGGAAATATCTTACCATAAAATCTAGTCAGAAGCATTCTCAGCAACTGAGTTGTGATGTTTGCATTCAACTCACAGAGTTCAACATTCCTTTTAATGGAGCGGTTTTGAAACACTCTTTTTGCAGAATCTGCAAGTGGATATTTGGACCTCTTTGAGGCCTTCGTTGGAAACGGGATTTCTTCATGTAATGCCAGACAGAAGAATTCTCAGTGAATTCTTTCTGTGTGTGTGTATTCAACTCACAGAGTTGAACGTTCCTTTAGACAGAGTAGATTGGAAACACTCTTTTTGTGGAATTTTCAGGTGGAGGTATCAAGCGCTTTGAGGCCAATGATAGAAAAGGAAATACCTTCGTATAATAATTAGACGGAATCATTCTCAGAAACTGCTTTGCAATGTGTGCGTTGAACTCACAGAGTTTAACTTTCTTTTCATACAGTTGTTTCGAAACACTCTTTTTGCAGAATCTTCAAGTGGATATTTTTTTGGACTTCTTTGAAGTCTTTGTTGGAAAAAGGATTTCTTCATATAATGCTGGACAGAAGACTTCTCAGTAACTGCTTTTTCTGGTGTGTATTCAACTCTCAGAGTTGAACTTTCCTTTAGAAACAGCAGATTTGAAACTCTCTTTTTGTGGAATTTGCAAGTGGAGATTTCAGAGCTTTGAGGCCAATGGTAGAAAAGGAAATATCTTCGTATGCAAACTAGACAGAATCATTCTCAGAAACTACTTTGGTACGTGTGTGTTCAACTCACAGTGTTTAACCTTTCTTTTCATAGAGCAGTTTGGAAACACTCAGTTTGTAAAGTCAGCAACTGGATATTTGGATGTATTTGAGGCCTTCGTTGGAAACGGGATTTCTTCATATAATGCTAGACAGAAGAATTCTCAGTAACTTCTTTGGGTTGTGGGTATTCAAGTCACAGAGTTGAAGCTTCCTTTAGGCGGAGCAGATTGGAAACACTTTTTGTGGAATTTTCAGGGGGAGACTTCAAGCGCTTTGAAGTGAATGGTAGGAAAGGAAATATCTTCGTATAAAAACTAGACGGAGTCATTCTCAGAAACTACTTTGTGATGTTTGCGTTCAACTCACAGAGTTTAACGTTTCTTTTCATAGAGCAGTTTGGAAACACTCTTTTTGCAGAATCTGCAAGTGGATATTTGGACCTCTTTGTGGCCTTCGTTGGAAACGGGATTTTTCATATAATGCTAGACAGAAGAATTCTCAGTAACTTCTTTTTGTGGTGTGTATTCAACTCACAGAGTTGAACCTTCCTTTAGACAGAGCAGATTTGAAACTCTCTTTTTGTGGAATTTGCAAGTGGAGATTTCAAGCGCTTTGAGGCCAACGGCAGAAAAGGAAATATCTTCGTAGAAAAAATAGACGGAATCATTCTCAGAAACTGCTTTGGGATGTGTGCATTGAACTCACAGTGTTTAACACTTCTTTTCATAGAGCACTTTGGAAACACTCAGTTTGTAATGTCTGCAGCTGGATATTTGGACCTCTTTGAGGCCTTCGTAGTAAACGGGATTTCTTCGTGTAATGATAGACAATAGAATTCTCAGTCAATTTTTTCCTGTGTGTGTGTATTCAACTCACAGGGTTGAACCTTCCTTTAGACAGTGCAGATTTGAAACACTTGTCTGTGGAATTTGCAAGGGGAGATTTCAAGCACTTTGAGGCCATTGGTGGAAAAGGAAATATCTTCGTATAAAAACTAGACAGAATCATTCTCAGGAACTACTTTGTGATATGTGCATTCAACTCACAGAGTTTAACCTTTCTTTTCATAGATGAGTTTGGAAACAGTCAGTTTGTAAATTCTGCAACTGGATATTTGGACCTCTTTGAGGCTTTCGTTGGAAACGGGATTTCTTCACATAATGCTAGACAGAAGAATTCTCAGTAACTTCTTTTGGGATGTATGTATTCAAATCAGAGAGTTGAACCTTCCTTTAGACAGAGCGGATTGGAAACACTCTTTTTGTGGAATTTGCAAGTGGAAAATTCTAGCAGTATGAGGCCAATGGTACAAAAGGAAATATCTTCGTATAAAAACTAGACAGTATCATTCTCAGAAACTGCTTTGTGATGTGTGTATTAAACTCACAGAGTTGAACATTTCTTTGCATAGAGCAGTTTGGAAAGACTTAGTTTGTGCAGTGTGCAAGTGGATATTTGGAACTCTTTGAGGCCTTCGTTGGAAACGGGATTTCTTCTTATAATTCTTGACAAAAGAATTCTCAGTAGCTTCTTTGTGTGTGTGTATTCAACTCACAGAGTTGAACCTTCCTTTAGACAGAGCAGATTGGAAACACTCTTTTTGTGGAATTTGCAAGTGGAGAATTCTAGCGCTTTGACGCCAATGGTAGAAAGGAAATATCTTCGTATAAAAACTAGACAGTTATCATTCTCAGTAAACTACTTTGTGAGGTGTGCGTTCAACTCACAGTGTTTACCCTTTCTTTTCATAGAGCAGTTTGGAAACACTCTGTTTGTGAAGTCTGCAAGTGGATATTTAAACGTCTTTGAGGCCTTCGTTGGAAACGGGATTTCTTCATATAAACCAGGACAGAAGAATTCTCAGAAACTTCTTGATTGTTATGTGTGCATTCAACTCACAGAGTTGAACCTTACTTTGGAAAGAGCAGTTTTCTAACACTCTTTTTGTAAAAGTTCCAAGTGAATACTTTGAGTGCTTTGAAGCCTACGGTTGACAACGAAATATCTTCATGTAAAAACTACAAAGAATCATTCGCAGAAACCACGTTGTGATCTCTGCAGTCAACTCACAGAGTTCAACCTTTCTTCCTATAGAGCAGTTATGAAACAGTCTCTTTGTAGAATTTGCAAGGGTGTATTTAGAGGGCATTGAAGCCTACGGTAGAAAAGGAAATATCTTACCATAAAATCTAGTCAGAAGCATTCTCAGCAACTGAGTTGTGATGTTTGCATTCAACTCACAGAGTTCAACATTCCTTTTAATGGAGCGGTTTTGAAACACTCTTTTTGCAGAATCTGCAAGTGGATATTTGGACCTCTTTGAGGCCTTCGTTGGAAACGGGATTTCTTCATGTAATGCCAGACAGAAGAATTCTCAGTGAATTCTTTCTGTGTGTGTGTATTCAACTCACAGGGTTGAACGTTCCTTTAGACAGAGTAGATTGGAAACACTCTTTTTGTGGAATTTTCTGGTGGAGGTATCAAGCGCTTTGAGGCCAATGATAGAAAAGGAAATACCTTCGTATAATAATTAGACGGAATCATTCTCAGAAACTGCTTTGCAATGTGTGCGTTCAACTCACAGTGTTTAACCTTTCTTTTCATACAGTTGTTTCGAAACACTCTTTTTGCAGAATCTGCAAGTGGATATTTGGACCTCTTTGAAGTCTTCGTTGGAAATGGGATTTCTTCATATAATGCTAGACAGAAGACTTCTCAGTAACTGCTTTTTCTGGTGTGTATTCAACTCTCAGAGTTGAACTTTCCTTTAGAAACAGCAGATTTGAAACTCTCTTTTTGTGGAATTTGCAAGTGGAGATTTCAGAGCTTTGAGGCCAATGGTAGAAAAGGAAATATCTTCGTATGCAAACTAGACAGAATCATTCTCAGAAACTACTTTGGTACGTGTGTGTTCAACTCACAAGTGTTTAACCTTTCTTTTCATAGAGCAGTTTGGAAACACTCAGTTTGTAAAGTCAGCAACTGGATATTTGGATGTATTTGAGGCCTTCGTTGGAAACGGGATTTCTTCATATAATGCTAGACAGAAGAATTCTCAGTAACTTCTTTGGGTTGTGGGTATTCAAGTCACAGAGTTGAAGCTTCCTTTAGGCGGAGCAGATTGGAAACACTTTTTGTGGAATTTTCAGGGGGAGACTTCAAGCGCTTTGAAGTGAATGGTAGGAAAGGAAATATCTTCGTATAAAAACTAGACGGAGTCATTCTCAGAAACTACTTTGTGATGTTTGCGTTCAACTCACAGAGTTTAACGTTTCTTTTCATAGAGCAGTTTGGAAACACTCTTTTTGCAGAATCTGCAAGTGGATATTTGGACCTCTTTGTGGCCTTCGTTGGAAACGGGATTTTTCATATAATGCTAGACAGAAGAATTCTCAGTAACTTCTTTTTGTGGTGTGTATTCAACTCACAGAGTTGAACCTTCCTTTAGACAGAGCAGATTTGAAACTCTCTTTTTGTGGAATTTGCAAGTGGAGATTTCAAGCGCTTTGAGGCCAACGGCAGAAAAGGAAATATCTTCGTAGAAAAAATAGACGGAATCATTCTCAGAAACTGCTTTGGGATGTGTGCATTGAACTCACAGTGTTTAACACTTCTTTTCATAGAGCACTTTGGAAACACTCAGTTTGTAATGTCTGCAGCTGGATATTTGGACCTCTTTGAGGCCTTCGTAGTAAACGGGATTTCTTCGTGTAATGATAGACAATAGAATTCTCAGTGAAATTTTTTCTGTGTGTGTGTATTCAACTCACAGGGTTGAACCTTCCTTCAGACAGTGCAGATTTGAAACACTTTTCTGTGGAATTTGCAAGGGGAGATTTCAAGCACTTTGAGGCCATTGGTGGAAAAGGAAATATCTTCGTATAAAAACTAGACCAGAAATCATTCTCAGGAACTACTTTGTGATATGTGCATTCAACTCCCAGAGTTTAACCTTTCTTTTCATAGATGAGTTTGGAAACAGTCAGTTTGTAAATTCTGCAACTGGATATTTGGACCTCTTTGAGGCTTTCGTTGGAAACGGGATTTCTTCACATAATGCTAGACAGAAGAATTCTCAGGAACTTCTTTTGGGATGTATGTATTCAAATCAGAGAGTTGAACCTTCCTTTAGACAGAGCGGATTGGAAACACTCTTTTTGTGGAATTTGCAAGTGGAAAATTCTAGCAGTATGAGGCCAATGGTACAAAAGGAAATATCTTCGTATAAAAACTAGACAGTATCATTCTCAGAAACTGCTTTGTGATGTGTGTATTAAACTCACAGAGTTGAACATTTCTTTGCATAGAGCAGTTTGGAAAGACTTAGTTTGTGCAGTGTGCAAGTGGATATTTGGAACTCTTTGAGGCCTTCGTTGGAAACGGGATTTCTTCTTATAATTCTTGACAAAAGAATTCTCAGTAGCTTCTTTGTGTGTGTGTACTCAACTCACAGAGTTGAACCTTCCTTTAGACAGAGCAGATTGGAAACACTCTTTTTGTGGAATTTGCAAGTGGAAAATTCTAGCAGTATGAGGCCAATGGTACAAAAGGAAATATCTTCGTATAAAAACTAGACAGTATCATTCTCAGAAGCTACTTTGTGATGTGTGCGTTCAACTCACAGAGTTTAACCTTTCTTTTCATAGAGCAGTTTGGAAACCCTCTGTTTGTGAAGTCTGCAAGTGGATATTTAAACGTCTTTGAGGCCTTCGTTGGAAACGGGATTTTTTCATATAAACCAGGACAGAAGAATTCTCAGAAACTTCTTGTTTGTTATGTGTGCATTCAACTCACAGAGTTGAACCTTACTTTGGAAAGAGCAGTTTTCTAACACTCTTTTTGTAAAAGTTCCAAGTGAATACTTTGAGTGCTTTGAAGCCTACGGTAGACAACGAAATATCTTCATGTAAAAACTACAAAGAATCATTCGCAGAAACCACGTTGTGATCTCTGCATTCAACTCACAGAGTTCAACCTTTCTTCCTATAGAGCAGTTATGAAACAGTCTCTTTGTAGAATTTGCAAGGGTGTATTTAGAGGGCATTGAAGCCTACGGTAGAAAAGGAAATATCTTACCATAAAATCTAGTCAGAAGCATTCTCAGAAACTGAGTTGTGATGTTTGCATTCAACTCACAGAGTTCAACATTCCTTTTAATGGAGCGGTTTTGAAACACTCTTTTTGCAGAATCTGCAAGTGGATATTTGGACCTCTTTGAGGCCTTCGTTGGAAATGGGATTTCTTCATGTAATGCCAGACAGAAGAATTCTCAGTGAATTCTTTCTGTGTGTGTGTATTCAACTCACAGAGTTGAACGTTCCTTTAGACAGAGTAGATTGGAAACACTCTTTTTGTGGAATTTTCAGGTGGAGGTATCAAGCGCTTTGAGGCCAATGATAGAAAAGGAAATACCTTCGTATAATAATTAGACGGAATCATTCTCAGAAACTGCTTTGCAATGTGTGCGTTCAACTCACAGTGTTTAACCTTTCTTTTCATACAGTTGTTTCGAAACACTCTTTTTGCAGAATCTGCAAGTGGATATTTGGACCTCTTTGAAGTCTTCGTTGGAAATGGGATTTCTTCATATAATGCTAGACAGAAGACTTCTCAGTAACTGCTTTTTCTGGTGTGTATTCAACTCTCAGAGTTGAACTTTCCTTTAGAAACAGCAGATTTGAAACTCTCTTTTTGTGGAATTTGCAAGTGGAGATTTCAGAGCTTTGAGGCCAATGGTAGAAAAGGAAATATCTTCGTATGCAAACTAGACAGAATCATTCTCAGAAACTACTTTGGTACGTGTGTGTTCAACTCACAGTGTTTAACCTTTCTTTTCATAGAGCAGTTTGGAAACACTCAGTTTGTAAAGTCAGCAACTGGATATTTGGATGTATTTGAGGCCTTCGTTGGAAACGGGATTTCTTCATATAATGCTAGACAGAAGAATTCTCAGTAACTTCTTTGGGTTGTGGGTATTCAAGTCACAGAGTTGAAGCTTCCTTTAGGCGGAGCAGATTGGAAACACTTTTTGTGGAATTTTCAGGGGGAGACTTCAAGCGCTTTGAAGTGAATGGTAGGAAAGGAAATATCTTCGTATAAAAACTAGACGGAGTCATTCTCAGAAACTACTTTGTGATGTTTGCGTTCAACTCACAGAGTTTAACGTTTCTTTTCATAGAGCAGTTTGGAAACACTCTTTTTGCAGAATCTGCAAGTGGATATTTGGACCTCTTTGTGGCCTTCGTTGGAAACGGGATTTTTCATATAATGCTAGACAGAAGAATTCTCAGTAACTTCTTTTTGTGGTGTGTATTCAACTCACAGAGTTGAACCTTCCTTTAGACAGAGCAGATTTGAAACTCTCTTTTTGTGGAATTTGCAAGTGGAGATTTCAAGCGCTTTGAGGCCAACGGCAGAAAAGGAAATATCTTCGTAGAAAAAATAGACGGAATCATTCTCAGAAACTGCTTTGGGATGTGTGCATTGAACTCACAGTGTTTAACACTTCTTTTCATAGAGCACTTTGGAAACAGTCAGTTTGGAATGTCTGCAGCTGGATATTTGGACCTCTTTGAGGCCTTCGTAGTAAACGGGATTTCTTCGGGTAATGATAGACAATAGAATTCTCAGTGAATTTTTTTCTGTGTGTGTGTATTCAACTCACAGGGTTGAACCTTCCTTTAGACAGTGCAGATTTGAGACACTTGTCTGTGGAATTTGCAAGGGGAGATTTCAAGCACTTTGAGGCCATTGGTGGAAAAGGAAATATCTTCGTATGAAAACTAGACAGAATCATTCTCAGGAACTACTTTGTGATATGTGCATTCAACTCACAGAGTTTAACCTTTCTTTTCATAGATGAGTTTGGAAACAGTCAGTTTGTAAATTCTGCAACTGGATATTTGGACCTCTTTGAGGCTTTCGTTGGAAACGGGATTTCTTCACATAATGCTAGACAGAAGAATTCTCAGTAACTTCTTTTGGGATGTATGTATTCAAATCAGAGAGTTGAACCTTCCTTTAGACAGAGCGGATTGGAAACACTCTTTTTGTGGAATTTGCAAGTGGAAAATTCTAGCAGTATGAGGCCAATGGTACAAAAGGAAATATCTTCGTATAAAAACTAGACAGTATCATTCTCAGAAACTGCTTTGTGATGTGTGTATTAAACTCACAGAGTTGAACATTTCTTTGCATAGAGCAGTTTGGAAAGACTTAGTTTGTGCAGTGTGCAAGTGGATATTTGGAACTCTTTGAGGCCTTCGTTGGAAACGGGATTTCTTCTTATAATTCTTGACAAAAGAATTCTCAGTAGCTTCTTTGTGTGTGTGTATTCAACTCACAGAGTTGAACCTTCCTTTAGACAGAGCAGATTGGAAACACTCTTTTTGTGGAATTTGCAAGTGGAGAATTCTAGCGCTTTGACGCCAATGGTAGAAAGGAAATATCTTCGTATAAACACTAGACAGTATCATTCTCAGAAGCTACTTTGTGATGTGTGCGTTCAACTCACAGAGTTTAACCTTTCTTTTCATAGAGCAGTTTGGAAACCCTCTGTTTGTGAAGTCTGCAAGTGGATATTTAAACGTCTTTGAGGCCTTCGTTGGAAACGGGATTTTTTCATATAAACCAGGACAGAAGAATTCTCAGAAACTTCTTGATTGTTATGTGTGCATTCAACTCACAGAGTTGAACCTTACTTTGGAAAGAGCAGTTTTCTAACACTCTTTTTGTAAAAGTTCCAAGTGAATACTTTGAGTGCTTTGAAGCCTACGGTTGACAACGAAATATCTTCATGTAAAAACTACAAAGAATCATTCGCAGAAACCACGTTGTGATCCCTGCATTCAACTCACAGAGTTCAACCTTTCTTCCTATAGAGCAGTTATGAAACAGTCTCTTTGTAGAATTTGCAAGGGTGTATTTAGAGGGCATTGAAGCCTACGGTAGAAAAGGAAATATCTTACCATAAAATCTAGTCAGAAGCATTCTCAGAAACTGAGTTGTGATGTTTGCATTCAACTCACAGAGTTCAACATTCCTTTTAATGGAGCGGTTTTGAAACACTCTTTTTGCAGAATCTGCAAGTGGATATTTGGACCTCTTTGAGGCCTTCGTTGGAAACGGGATTTCTTCATGTAATGCCAGACAGAAGAACTCTCAGTGAATTCTTTCTGTGTGTGTGTATTCAACTCACAGAGTTGAACGTTCCTTTAGACAGAGTAGATTGGAAACACTCTTTTAGTGGAATTTTCAGGTGGAGGTATCAAGCGCTTTGAGGCCCATGATAGAAAAGGAAATACCTTCGTATAATAATTAGACGGAATCATTCTCAGAAACCGCTTTGCAATGTGTGCGTTCAACTCACAGTGTTTAACCTTTCTTTTCATACAGTTGTTTCGAAACACTCTTTTTGCAGAATCTGCAAGTGGATATTTGGACCTCTTTGAAGTCTTCGTTGGAAATGGGATTTCTTCATATAATGCTAGACAGAAGACTTCTCAGTAACTGCTTTTTCTGGTGTGTATTCAACTCTCAGAGTTGAACTTTCCTTTAGAAACAGCAGAGTTGAAACTCTCTTTTTGTGGAATTTGCAAGTGGAGATTTCAAAGCTTTGAGGCCAATGGTAGAAAAGGAAATATCTTCGTATGCAAACTAGACAGAATCATTCTCAGAAACTACTTTGGTACGTGTGTGTTCAACTCACAGTGTTTAACCTTTCCTTTCATAGAGCAGTTTGGAAACACTCAGTTTGTAAAGTCAGCAACTGGATATCTGGATGTATTTGAGGCCTTCGTTGGAAACGGGATTTCTTCATGTAATGCTAGACAGAAGAATTCTCAGTAACTTCTTTGGGTTGTGGGTATTCAACTCACAGAGCTGAAGCTTCTTTTAGGCGGAGCAGATTGGAAAAACTTTTTGTGGAATTTTCAGGGGGAGACTTCAAGCGCTTTGAGGCCAACGGTAGAAAAGGAAATATCTTCGTATAAAAACTAGACGGAGTCATTCTCAGAAACTACTTTGTGATGTTTGCGTTCAACTCACAGAGTTTAACGTTTCTTTTCATAGAGCAGTTTGGAAACACTCTTTTTGCAGAATCTGCAAGTGGATATTTGGACCTCTTTGTGGCCTTCGTTGGAAACGGGATTTTTCATATAATGCTAGACAGAAGAATTCTCAGTAACTTCTTTTTGTGGTGTGTATTCAACTCACAGAGTTGAACCTTCCTTTAGACAGAGCAGATTTGAAACTCTCTTTTTGTGGAATTTGCAAGTGGAGATTTCAAGCGCTTTGAGGCCAACGGCAGAAAAGGAAATATCTTCGTAGAAAAAATAGACGGAATCATTCTCAGCAAACTGCTTTGGGATGTGTGCATTGAACTCACAGTGTTTAACACTTCTTTTCATAGAGCACTTTGGAAACACTCAGTTTGTAATGTCTGCAGCTGGATATTTGGACCTCTTTGAGGCCTTCGTAGTAAACGGGATTTCTTCGTGTAATGATAGACAATAGAATTCTCAGTGAATTTTTTTCTGTGTGTGTGTATTCAACTCACAGGGTTGAACCTTCCTTTAGACAGTGCAGATTTGAAACACTTGTCTGTGGAATTTGCAAGGGGAGATTTCAAGCACTTTGAGGCCATTGGTGGAAAAGGAAATATCTTCGTATAAAAACTAGACAGAATCATTCTCAGGAACTACTTTGTGATATGTGCATTCAACTCACAGAGTTTAACCTTTCTTTTCATAGATGAGTTTGGAAACAGTCAGTTTGTAAATGCTGCAACTGGATATTTGGGCCTCTTTGAGGCTTTCGTTGGAAACGGGATTTCTTCACATAATGCTAGACAGAAGAATTCTCAGTAACTTCTTTTGGGATGTATGTATTCAAATCAGAGAGTTGAACCTTCCTTTAGACAGAGCGGATTGGAAACACTCTTTTTGTGGAATTTGCAAGTGGAAAATTCTAGCAGTATGAGGCCAATGGTACAAAAGGAAATATCTTCGTATAAAAACTAGACAGTATCATTCTCAGAAACTGCTTTGTGATGTGTGTATTAAACTCACAGAGTTGAACATTTCTTTGCATAGAGCAGTTTGGAAAGACTTAGTTTGTGCAGTGTGCAAGTGGATATTTGGAACTCTTTGAGGCCTTCGTTGGAAACGGGATTTCTTCTTATAATTCTTGACAAAAGAATTCTCAGTAGCTTCTTTGTGTGTGTGTACTCAACTCACAGAGTTGAACCTTCCTTTAGACAGAGCAGATTGGAAACACTCTTTTTGTGGAATTTGCAAGTGGAAAATTCTAGCAGTATGAGGCCAATGGTACAAAAGGAAATATCTTCGTATAAAAACTAGACAGTATCATTCTCAGAAGCTACTTTGTGATGTGTGCGTTCAACTCACAGAGTTTAACCTTTCTTTTCATAGAGCAGTTTGGAAACCCTCTGTTTGTGAAGTCTGCAAGTGGATATTTAAACGTCTTTGAGGCCTTCGTTGGAAACGGGATTTTTTCATATAAACCAGGACAGAAGAATTCTCAGAAACTTCTTGATTGTTATGTGTGCATTCAACTCACAGAGTTGAACCTTACTTTGGAAAGAGCAGTTTCCTAACACTCGTTTTGTAAAAGTTCCAAGTGAATACTTTGAGTGCTTTGAAGCCTACGGTTGACAACGAAATATCTTCATGTAAAAACTACAAAGAATCATTCGCAGAAACCACGTTGTGATCTCTGCATTCAACTCACAGAGTTGAACCTTTCTTCCTATAGAGCAGTTATGAAACAGTCTCTTTGTAGAATTTGCAAGGGTGTATTTAGAGGGCATTGAAGCCTACGGTATAAAAGGAAATATCTTACCATAAAATCTAGTCAGAAGCATTCTCAGCAACTGAGTTGTGATGTTTGCATTCAACTCACAGAGTTCAACATTCCTTTTAATGGAGCGGTTTTGAAACACTCTTTTTGCAGAATCTGCAAGTGGATATTTGGACCTCTTTGAGGCCTTCGTTGGAAACGGGATTTCTTCATGTAATGCCAGACAGAAGAATTCTCAGTGAATTCTTTCTGTGTGTGTGTATTCAACTCACAGAGTTGAACGTTCCTTTAGACAGAGTAGATTGGAAACACTCTTTTTGTGGAATTTTCAGGTGGAGGTATCAAGCGCTTTGAGGCCAATGATAGAAAAGGAAATACCTTCGTATAATAATTAGACGGAATCATTCTCAGAAACTGCTTTGCAATGTGTGCGTTCAACTCACAGTGTTTAACCTTTCTTTTCATACAGTTGTTTCGAAACACTCTTTTTGCAGAATCTGCAAGTGGATATTTGGACCTCTTTGAAGTCTTCGTTGGAAATGGGATTTCTTCATATAATGCTAGACAGAAGACTTCTCAGTAACTGCTTTTTCTGGTGTGTATTCAACTCTCAGAGTTGAACTTTCCTTTAGAAACAGCAGATTTGAAACTCTCTTTTTGTGGAATTTGCAAGTGGAGATTTCAGAGCTTTGAGGCCAATGGTAGAAAAGGAAATATCTTCGTATGCAAACTAGACAGAATCATTCTCAGAAACTACTTTGGTACGTGTGTGTTCAACTCACAGTGTTTAACCTTTCTTTTCATAGAGCAGTTTGGAAACACCCAGTTTGTAAAGTCAGCAACTGGATATTTGGATGTATTTGAGGCCTTCGTTGGAAACGGGATTTCTTCATATAGTGCTAGACAGAAGAATTCTCAGTAACTTCTTTGGGTTGTGGGTATTCAACTCACAGAGTTGAAGCTTCCTTTAGGCGGAGCAGATTGGAAACACTTTTTGTGGAATTTTCAGGGGGAGACTTCAAGCGCTTTGAAGTGAATGGTAGGAAAGGAAATATCTTCGTATAAAAACTAGACGGAGTCATTCTCAGAAACTACTTTGTGATGTTTGCGTTCAACTCACAGAGTTTAACGTTTCTTTTCATAGAGCAGTTTGGAAACACTCTTTTTGCAGAATCTGCAAGTGGATATTTGGACCTCTTTGTGGCCTTCGTTGGAAACGGGATTTTTCATATAATGCTAGACAGAAGAATTCTCAGTAACTTCTTTTTGTGGTGTGTATTCAACTCACAGAGTTGAACCTTCCTTTAGACAGAGCAGATTTGAAACTCTCTTTTTGTGGAATTTGCAAGTGGAGATTTCAAGCGCTTTGAGGCCAACGGCAGAAAAGGAAATATCTTCGTAGAAAAAATAGACGGAATCATTCTCAGAAACTGCTTTGGGATGTGTGCGTTGAACTCACAGTGTTTAACACTTCTTTTCATAGAGCACTTTGGAAACACTCAGTTTGTAATGTCTGCAGCTGGATATTTGGACCTCTTTGAGGCCTTCGTAGTAAACGGGATTTCTTCGTGTAATGATAGACAATAGAATTCTCAGTGAATTTGTTTCTGTGTGTGTGTATTCAACTCACAGGGTTGAACCTTCCTTTAGACAGTGCAGATTTGAAACACTTGTCTGTGGAATTTGCAAGGGGAGATTTCAAGCACTTTGAGGCCATTGGTGGAAAAGGAAATATCTTCGTATAAAAACTAGACAGAATCATTCTCAGGAACTACTTTGTGATATGTGCATTCAACTCACAGAGTTTAACCTTTCTTTTCATAGATGAGTTTGGAAACAGTCAGTTTGTAAATTCTGCAACTGGATATTTGGACCTCTTTGAGGCTTTCGTTGGAAACGGGATTTCTTCACATAATGCTAGACAGAAGAATTCTCAGTAACTTCTTTTGGGATGTATGTATTCAAATCAGAGAGTTGAACCTTCCTTTAGACAGAGCGGATTGGAAACACTCTTTTTGTGGAATTTGCAAGTGGAAAATTCTAGCAGTATGAGGCCAATGGTACAAAAGGAAATATTCTTCGTATAAAAACTAGACAGTAATCATTCTCAGAAACTGCTTTGTGATGTGTGTATTAAACTCACAGAGTTGAACATTTCTTTGCATAGAGCAGTTTGGAAAGACTTAGTTTGTGCAGTGTGCAAGTGGATATTTGGAACTCTTTGAGGCCTTCGTTGGAAACGGGATTTCTTCTTATAATTTCTTGAAAAAAGAATTCTCAGTAGCTTCTTTGTGTGTGTGTATTCAACTCACAGAGTTGAACCTTCCTTGAGACAGAGCAGATTGGAAACACTCTTTTTGTGGAATTTGCAAGTGGAGAATTCTAGCGCTTTGACGCCAATGGTAGAAAGGAAATATCTTCGTATAAAAACTAGACAGTATCATTCTCAGAAGCTACTTTGTGATGTGTGCGTTCAACTCACAGAGTTTAACCTTTCTTTTCATAGAGCGGTTTGGAAACCCTCTGTTTGTGAAGTCTGCAAGTGGATATTTAAACGTCTTTGAGGCCTTCGTTGGAAACGGGATTTTTTCATATAAACCAGGACAGAAGAATTCTCAGAAACTTCTTGATTGTTATGTGTGCATTCAACTCACAGAGTTGAACCTTACTTTGGAAAGAGCAGTTTCCTAACACTCGTTTTGTAAAAGTTCCAAGTGAATACTTTGAGTGCTTTGAAGCCTACGGTTGACAACGAAATATCTTCATGTAAAAACTACAAAGAATCATTCGCAGAAACCACGTTGTGATCTCTGCATTCAACTCACAGAGTTCAACCTTTCTTCCTATAGAGCAGTTATGAAACAGTCTCTTTGTAGAATTTGCAAGGGTGTATTTAGAGGGCATTGAAGCCTACGGTAGAAAAGGAAATATCTTACCATAAAATCTAGTCAGAAGCATTCTCAGAAACTGAGTTGTGATGTTTGCATTCAACTCACAGAGTTCAACATTCCTTTTAATGGAGCGGTTTTGAAACACTCTTTTTGCAGAATCTGCAAGTGGATATTTGGACCTCTTTGAGGCCTTCGTTGGAAACGGGATTTCTTCATGTAATGCCAGACAGAAGAATTCTCAGTGAATTCTTTCTGTGTGTGTGTATTCAACTCACAGAGTTGAACGTTCCTTTAGACAGAGTAGATTGGAAACACTCTTTTTGTGGAATTTTCAGGTGGAGGTATCAAGCGCTTTGAGGCCAATGATAGAAAAGGAAATACCTTCGTATAATAATTAGACGGAATCATTCTCAGAAACCGCTTTGCAATGTGTGCGTTCAACTCACAGTGTTTAACCTTTCTTTTCATACAGTTGTTTCGAAACACTCTTTTTGCAGAATCTGCAAGTGGATATTTGGACCTCTTTGAAGTCTTCGTTGGAAATGGGATTTCTTCATATAATGCTAGACAGAAGACTTCTCAGTAACTGCTTTTTCTGGTGTGTATTCAACTCTCAGAGTTGAACTTTCCTTTAGAAACAGCAGATTTGAAACTCTCTTTTTGTGGAATTTGCAAGTGGAGATTTCAGAGCTTTGAGGCCAATGGTAGAAAAGGAAATATCTTCGTATGCAAACTAGACAGAATCATTCTCAGCAAACTACTTTGGTACGTGTGTGTTCAACTCACAGTGTTTAACCTTTCTTTTCATAGAGCAGTTTGGAAACACTCAGTTTGTAAAGTCAGCCACTGGATATGTGGATGTATTTGAGGCCTTCGTTGGAAACGGGATTTCTTCCTATAATGCGAGACAGAAGAATTCTCAGTAACTTCTTTGGGTTGTGGGTATTCAAGTCACAGAGTTGAAGCTTCCTTTAGGCGGAGCAGATTGGAAACACTTTTTGTGGAATTTTCAGGGGGAGACTTCAAGCGCTTTGAAGTGAATGGTAGGAAAGGAAATATCGTCGTATAAAAACTAGACGGAGTCATTCTCAGAAACTACTTTGTGATGTTTGCGTTCAACTCACAGAGTTTAACGTTTCTTTTCATAGAGCAGTTTGGAAACACTCTTTTTGCAGAATCTGCAAGTGGATATTTGGACCTCTTTGTGGCCTTCGTTGGAAACGGGATTTTTCATATAATGCTAGACAGAAGAATTCTCAGTAACTTCTTTTTGTGGTGTGTATTCAACTCACAGAGTTGAACCTTCCTTTAGACAGAGCAGATTTGAAACTCTCTTTTTGTGGAATTTGCAAGTGGAGATTTCAAGCGCTTTGAGGCCAACGGCAGAAAAGGAAATATCTTCGTAGAAAAAATAGACGGAATCATTCTCAGAAACTGCTTTGGGATGTGTGCATTGAACTCACAGTGTTTAACACTTCTTTTCATAGAGCACTTTGGAAACACTCAGTTTGTAATGTCTGCAGCTGGATATTTGGACCTCTTTGAGGCCTTCGTAGTAAACGGGATTTCTTCGTGTAATGATAGACAATAGAATTCTCAGTGAATTTTTTTCTGTGTGTGTGTATTCAACTCACAGGGTTGAACCTTCCTTTAGACAGTGCAGATTTGAAACACTTGTCTGTGGAATTTGCAAGGGGAGATTTCAAGCACTTTGAGGCCATTGGTGGAAAAGGAAATAACTTCGTATAAAAACTAGACAGAATCATTCTCAGGAACTACTTTGTGATATGTGCATTCAACTCACAGAGTTTAACCTTTCTTTTCATAGATGAGTTTGGAAACAGTCAGTTTGTAAATTCTGCAACTGGATATTTGGACCTCTTTGAGGCTTTCGTTGGAAACGGGATTTCTTCACATAATGCTAGACAGAAGAATTCTCAGTAACTTCTTTTGGGATGTATGTATTCAAATCAGAGAGTTGAACCTTCCTTTAGACAGAGCGGATTGGAAACACTCTTTTTGTGGAATTTGCAAGTGGAAAATTCTAGCAGTATGAGGCCAATGGTACAAAAGGAAATATCTTCGTATAAAAACTAGACAGTATCATTCTCAGAAACTGCTTTGTGATGTGTGTATTAAACTCACAGAGTTGAACATTTCTTTGCATAGAGCAGTTTGGAAAGACTTAGTTTGTGCAGTGTGCAAGTGGATATTTGGAACTCTTTGAGGCCTTCGTTGGAAACGGGATTTCTTCTTATAATTCTTGACAAAAGAATTCTCAGTAGCTTCTTTGTGTGTGTGTATTCAACTCACAGAGTTGAACCTTCCTTTAGACAGAGCAGATTGGAAACACTCTTTTTGTGGAATTTGCAAGTGGAGAATTCTAGCGCTTTGACGCCAATGGTAGAAAGGAAATATCTTCGTATAAAAACTAGACAGTATCATTCTCAGAAGCTACTTTGTGATGTGTGCGTTCAACTCACAGAGTTTAACCTTTCTTTTCATAGAGCGGTTTGGAAACCCTCTGTTTGTGAAGTCTGCAAGTGGATATTTAAACGTCTTTGAGGCCTTCGTTGGAAACGGGATTTTTTCATATAAACCAGGACAGAAGAATTCTCAGAAACTTCTTGATTGTTATGTGTGCATTCAACTCACAGAGTTGAACCTTACTTTGGAAAGAGCAGTTTCCTAACACTCGTTTTGTAAAAGTTCCAAGTGAATACTTTGAGTGCTTTGAAGCCTACGGTTGACAACGAAATATCTTCATGTAAAAACTACAAAGAATCATTCGCAGAAACCACGTTGTGATCTCTGCAGTCAACTCACAGAGTTCAACCTTTCTTCCTATAGAGCAGTTATGAAACAGTCTCTTTGTAGAATTTGCAAGGGTGTATTTAGAGGGCATTGAAGCCTACGGTAGAAAAGGAAATATCTTACCATAAAATCTAGTCAGAAGCATTCTCAGAAACTGAGTTGTGATGTTTGCATTCAACTCACAGAGTTCAACATTCCTTTTAATGGAGCGGTTTTGAAACACTCTTTTTGCAGAATCTGCAAGTGGATATTTGGACCTCTTTGAGGCCTTCGTTGGAAACGGGATTTCTTCATGTAATGCCAGACAGAAGAACTCTCAGTGAATTCTTTCTGTGTGTGTGTATTCAACTCACAGAGTTGAACGTTCCTTTAGACAGAGTAGATTGGAAACACTCTTTTTGTGGAATTTTCAGGTGGAGGTATCAAGCGCTTTGAGGCCCATGATAGAAAAGGAAATACCTTCGTATAATAATTAGACGGAATCATTCTCAGAAACTGCTTTGCAATGTGTGCCGTTCAACTCACAGTGTTTAACCTTTCTTTTCATACAGTTGTTTCGAAACACTCTTTTTGCAGAATCTGCAAGTGGATATTTGGACCTCTTTGAAGTCTTCGTTGGAAATGGGATATCTTCATATAATGCTAGACAGAAGACTTCTCAGTAACTGCTTTTTCTGGTGTGTATTCAACTCTCAGAGTTGAACTTTCCTTTAGAAACAGCAGAGTTGAAACTCTCTTTTTGTGGAATTTGCAAGTGGAGATTTCAAAGCTTTGAGGCCAATGGTAGAAAAGGAAATATCTTCGTATGCAAACTAGACAGAATCATTCTCAGAAACTACTTTGGTACGTGTGTGTTCAACTCACAGTGTTTAACCTTTCTTTTCATAGAGCAGTTTGGAAACACTCAGTTTGTAAAGTCAGCAACTGGATATTTGGATGTATTTGAGGCCTTCGTTGGAAACGGGATTTCTTCATATAATGCTAGACAGAAGAATTCTCAGTAACTTCTTTGGGTTGTGGGTATTCAAGTCACAGAGTTGAAGCTTCCTTTAGGCGGAGCAGATTGGAAACACTTTTTGTGGAATTTTCAGGGGGAGACTTCAAGCGCTTTGAAGTGAATGGTAGGAAAGGAAATATCTTCGTATAAAAACTAGACGGAGTCATTCTCAGAAACTACTTTGTGATGTTTGCGTTCAACTCACAGAGTTTAACGTTTCTTTTCATAGAGCAGTTTGGAAACACTCTTTTTGCAGAATCTGCAAGTGGATATTTGGACCTCTTTGTGGCCTTCGTTGGAAACGGGATTTTTCATATAATGCTAGACAGAAGAATTCTCAGTAACTTCTTTTTGTGGTGTGTATTCAACTCACAGAGTTGAACCTTCCTTTAGACAGAGCAGATTTGAAACTCTCTTTTTGTGGAATTTGCAAGTGGAGATTTCAAGCGCTTTGAGGCCAACGGCAGAAAAGGAAATATCTTCGTAGAAAAAATAGACGGAATCATTCTCAGAAACTGCTTTGGGATGTGTGCATTGAACTCACAGTGTTTAACACTTCTTTTCATAGAGCACTTTGGAAACACTCAGTTTGTAATGTCTGCAGCTGGATATTTGGACCTCTTTGAGGCCTTCGTAGTCAACGGGATTTCTTCGTGTAATGATAGACAATAGAATTCTCAGTGAATTTTTTTCTGTGTGTGTGTATTCAACTCACAGGGTTGAACCTTCCTTTAGACAGTGCAGATTTGAGACACTTGTCTGTGGAATTTGCAAGGGGAGATTTCAAGCACTTTGAGGCCATTGGTGGAAAAGGAAATATCTTCGTATAAAAACTAGACAGAATCATTCTCAGGAACTACTTTGTGATATGTGCATTCAACTCACAGAGTTTAACCTTCCTTTTCATAGATGAGTTTGGAAACAGTCAGTTTGTAAATTCTGCAACTGGATATTTGGACCTCTTGGAGGCTTTCGTTGGAAACGGGATTTCTTCACATAATGCTAGACAGAAGAATTCTCAGTAACTTCTTTTGGGATGTATGTATTCAAATCAGAGAGTTGAACCTTCCTTTAGACAGAGCGGATTGGAAACACTCTTTTTGTGGAATTTGCAAGTGGAAAATTCTAGCAGTATGAGGCCAATGGTACAAAAGGAAATATCTTCGTATAAAAACTAGACAGTATCATTCTCAGAAACTGCTTTGTGATGTGTGTATTAAACTCACAGAGTTGAACATTTCTTTGCATAGAGCAGTTTGGAAAGACTTAGTTTGTGCAGTGTGCAAGTGGATATTTGGAACTCTTTGAGGCCTTCGTTGGAAACGGGATTTCTTCTTATAATTCTTGACAAAAGAATTCTCAGTAGCTTCTTTGTGTGTGTGTATTCAACTCACAGAGTTGAACCTTCCTTTAGACAGAGCAGATTGGAAACACTCTTTTTGTGGAATTTGCAAGTGGAGAATTCTAGCGCTTTGACGCCAATGGTAGAAAGGAAATATCTTCGTATAAAAACTAGACAGTATCATTCTCAGAAACTACTTTGTGATGTGTGCGTTCAACTCACAGTGTTTACCCTTTCTTTTCATAGAGCAGTTTGGAAACACTCTGTTTGTGAAGTCTGCTAGTGGATATTTAAACGTCTTTGAGGCCTTCGTTGGAAACGGGATTTCTTCATATAAACCAGGACAGAAGAATTCTCAGAAACTTCTTGTTTGTTATGTGTGCATTCAACTCACAGAGTTGAACCTTACTTTGGAAAGAGCAGTTTTCTAACACTCTTTTTGTGAAAGTTCCAAGTGAATACTTTGAGTGCTTTGAAGCCTACGGTAGACAACGAAATATCTTCATGTAAAAACTACAAAGAATCATTCGCAGAAACCACGTTGTGATCTCTGCAGTCAACTCACAGAGTTCAACCTTTCTTCCTATAGAGCAGTTATGAAACAGTCTCTTTGTAGAATTTGCAAGGGTGTATTTAGAGGGCATTGAAGCCTACGGTAGAAAAGGAAATATCTTACCATAAAATCTAGTCAGAAGCATTCTCAGCAACTGAGTTGTGATGTTTGCATTCAACTCACAGAGTTCAACATTCCTTTTAATGGAGCGGTTTTGAAACACTCTTTTTGCAGAATCTGCAAGTGGATATTTGGACCTCTTTGAGGCCTTCGTTGGAAACGGGATTTCTTCATGTAATGCCAGACAGAAGAATTCTCAGTGAATTCTTTCTGTGTGTGTGTATTCAACTCACAGAGTTGAACGTTCCTTTAGACAGAGTAGATTGGAAACACTCTTTTTGTGGAATTTTCAGGTGGAGGTATCAAGCGCTTTGAGGCCAATGATAGAAAAGGAAATACCTTCGTATAATAATTAGACGGAATCATTCTCAGAAACCGCTTTGCAATGTGTGCGTTCAACTCACAGTGTTTAACCTTTCTTTTCATACAGTTGTTTCGAAACACTCTTTTTGCAGAATCTGCAAGTGGATATTTGGACCTCTTTGAAGTCTTCGTTGGAAATGGGATTTCTTCATATAATGCTAGACAGAAGACTTCTCAGTAACTGCTTTTTCTGGTGTGTATTCAACTCTCAGAGTTGAACTTTCCTTTAGAAACAGCAGATTTGAAACTCTCTTTTTGTGGAATTTGCAAGTGGAGATTTCAGAGCTTTGAGGCCAATGGTAGAAAAGGAAATATCTTCGTATGCAAACTAGACAGAATCATTCTCAGAAACTACTTTGGTACGTGTGTGTTCAACTCACAGTGTTTAACCTTTCTTTTCATAGAGCAGTTTGGAAACACTCAGTTTGTAAAGTCAGCAACTGGATATTTGGATGTATTTGAGGCCTTCGTTGGAAACGGGATTTCTTCATATAATGCTAGACAGAAGAATTCTCAGTAACTTCTTTGGGTTGTGGGTATTCAACTCACAGAGTTGAAGCTTCCTTTAGGCGGAGCAGATTGGAAACACTTTTTGTGGAATTTTCAGGGGGAGACTTCAAGCGCTTTGAAGTGAATGGTAGGAAAGGAAATATCTTCGTATAAAAACTAGACGGAGTCATTCTCAGAAACTACTTTGTGATGTTTGCGTTCAACTCACAGAGTTTAACGTTTCTTTTCATAGAGCAGTTTGGAAACACTCTTTTTGCAGAATCTGCAAGTGGATATTTGGACCTCTTTGTGGCCTTCGTTGGAAACGGGATTTTTCATATAATGCTAGACAGAAGAATTCTCAGTAACTTCTTTTTGTGGTGTGTATTCAACTCACAGAGTTGAACCTTCCTTTAGACAGAGCAGATTTGAAACTCTCTTTTTGTGGAATTTGCAAGTGGAGATTTCAAGCGCTTTGAGGCCAACGGCAGAAAAGGAAATATCTTCGTAGAAAAAATAGACGGAATCATTCTCAGAAACTGCTTTGGGATGTGTGCATTGAACTCACAGTGTTTAACACTTCTTTTCATAGAGCACTTTGGAAACACTCAGTTTATAATGTCTGCAGCTGGATATTTGGACCTCTTTGAGGCCTTCGTAGTAAACGGGATTTCTTCGTGTAATGATAGACAATAGAATTCTCAGTGAATTTTTTTCTGTGTGTGTGTATTCAACTCACAGGGTTGAACCTTCCTTCAGACAGTGCAGATTTGAAACACTTTTCTGTGGAATTTGCAAGGGGAGATTTCAAGCAATTTGAGGCCATTGGTGGAAAAGGAAATATCTTCGTATAAAAACTAGACAGAATCATTCTCAGGAACTACTTTGTGATATGTGCGTTCAACTCACAGGGTTTAACCTTTCTTTTCATAGATGAGTTTGGAAACAGTCAGTTTGTAAATTCTGCAACTGGATATTAGGACCTCTTTGAGGCTTTCGTTGGAAACGGGATTTCTTCACATAATGCTAGACAGAAGAATTCTCAGTAACTTCTTTTGGGATGTATGTATTCAACTCAGAGAGTTGAACCTTCCTTTAGACAGAGCGCATTGGAAACACGCTTTTTGCGGAATTTTCAGGTGGAGATTCCAAGAGCCTTGAGTCCAATGGTAGAAAAGGCTATCTTCGTATAAAAACTAGAGGGAATCATTCTCAGAAACTGCTTTGTGATGTGTGCATTAAACTCACAGGGTTGAACATTTCTTTGCATAGAGCAGTTTGGAAAGACTTAGTGTGTACAGTGTGCAAGTGGATATTTGGAACTCTTTGAGGCCTTCGTTGGAAACGGGATTTCTTCTTATAATTCTTGACAAAAGAATTCTCAGTAGCTTCCTTGTGTGTGTGTATTCAACTCACAGAGTTGAACCTGCCTTTAGGCAGAGCAGATTGGAAACTCTCTTTTTGTGGAATTTGCAAGTGGAGAATTCTAGCGCTTTGACGCCAATGGTAGGAAAGGAAATCTCTTCGTATAAAAACTGGACAGTATCATTCTCAGAAACTACTTTGTGATGTGTGCGTTCAACTCACAGAGTTTAACCTTTCTTTTCATAGAGCAGTTTGGAAACACTCTGTTTGTGAAGTCTGCAAGTGGATATTTAAACGTCTTTGAGGCCTTCGTTGGAAACGGGATTTTTTCATATAAACCAGGACAGAAGAATTCTCAGAAACTTCTTGTTTGTTATGTGTGCATTCAACTCACAGAGTTGAACCTTACTTTGGAAAGAGCAGTTTTCTAACACTCTTTTTGTAAAAGTTCCAAGAGAATACTTTGAGTGCTTTGAAGCCTACGGTAGACAACGAAATATCTTCATGTAAAAACTGCGAAGAATCATTCGCAGAAACCACGTTGTGATCTCTGCAGTCAACTCACAGAGTTCAACCTTTCTTCCTATAGAGCAGTTATGAAACAGTCTCTTTGTAGAATTTGCAAGGGTGTATTTAGAGGGCATTGAAGCCTACGGTAGAAAAGGAAATATCTTACCATAAAATCTAGTCAGAAGCATTCTCAGAAACTGAGTTGTGATGTTTGCATTCAACTCACAGAGTTCAACATTCCTTTTAATGGAGCGGTTTTGAAACACTCTTTTTGCAGAATCTGCAAGTGGATATTTGGACCTCTTTGAGGCCTTCGTTGGAAACGGGATTTCTTCATGTAATGCCAGACAGAAGAATTCTCAGTGAATTCTTTCTGTGTGTGTGTATTCAACTCACAGAGTTGAACGTTCCTTTAGACAGAGTAGATTGGAAACACTCTTTTTGTGGAATTTTCAGGTGGAGGTATCAAGCGCTTTGAGGCCAATGATAGAAAAGGAAATACCTTCGTATAATAATTAGACGGAATCATTCTCAGAAACTGCTTTGCAATGTGTGCGTTCAACTCACAGTGTTTAACCTTTCTTTTCATACAGTTGTTTCGAAACACTCTTTTTGCAGAATCTGCAAGTGGATATTTGGACCTCTTTGAAGTCTTCGTTGGAAATGGGATTTCTTCATATAATGCTAGACAGAAGACTTCTCAGTAACTGCTTTTTCTGGTGTGTATTCAACTCTCAGAGTTGAACTTTCCTTTAGAAACAGCAGATTTGAAACTCTCTTTTTGTGGAATTTGCAAGTGGAGATTTCAGAGCTTTGAGGCCAATGGTAGAAAAGGAAATATCTTCGTATGCAAACTAGACAGAATCATTCTCAGAAACTACTTTGGTACGTGTGTGTTCAACTCACAGTGTTTAACCTTTCTTTTCATAGAGCAGTTTGGAAACACTCAGTTTGTAAAGTCAGCAACTGGATATTTGGATGTATTTGAGGCCTTCGTTGGAAACGGGATTTCTTCATATAATGCTAGACAGAAGAATTCTCAGTAACTTCTTTGGGTTGTGGGTATTCAAGTCACAGAGTTGAAGCTTCCTTTAGGCGGAGCAGATTGGAAACACTTTTTGTGGAATTTTCAGGGGGAGACTTCAAGCGCTTTGAAGTGAATGGTAGGAAAGGAAATATCTTCGTATAAAAACTAGACGGAGTCATTCTCAGAAACTACTTTGTGATGTTTGCGTTCAACTCACAGAGTTTAACGTTTCTTTTCATAGAGCAGTTTGGAAACACTCTTTTTGCAGAATCTGCAAGTGGATATTTGGACCTCTTTGTGGCCTTCGTTGGAAACGGGATTTTTCATATAATGCTAGACAGAAGAATTCTCAGTAACTTCTTTTTGTGGTGTGTATTCAACTCACAGAGTTGAACCTTCCTTTAGACAGAGCAGATTTGAAACTCTCTTTTTGTGGAATTTGCAAGTGGAGATTTCAAGCGCTTTGAGGCCAACGGCAGAAAAGGAAATATCTTCGTAGAAAAAATAGACGGAATCATTCTCAGAAACTGCTTTGGGATGTGTGCATTGAACTCACAGTGTTTAACACTTCTTTTCATAGAGCACTTTGGAAACACTCAGTTTGTAATGTCTGCAGCTGGATATTTGGACCTCTTTGAGGCCTTCGTAGTAAACGGGATTTCTTCGTGTAATGATAGACAATAGAATTCTCAGTGAATTTTTTTCTGTGTGTGTGTATTCAACTCACAGGGTTGAACCTTCCTTTAGACAGTGCAGATTTGAGACACTTGTCTGTGGAATTTGCAAGGGGAGATTTCAAGCACTTTGAGGCCATTGGTGGAAAAGGAAATATCTTCGTATAAAAACTAGACAGAATCATTCTCAGGAACTACTTTGTGATATGTGCATTCAACTCACAGAGTTTAACCTTTCTTTTCATAGATGAGTTTGGAAACAGTCAGTTTGTAAATTCTGCAACTGGATATTTGGACCTCTTTGAGGCTTTCGTTGGAAACGGGATTTCTTCACATAATGCTAGACAGAAGAATTCTCAGTAACTTCTTTTGGGATGTATGTATTCAAATCAGAGAGTTGAACCTTCCTTTAGACAGAGCGGATTGGAAACACTCTTTTTGTGGAATTTGCAAGTGGAAAATTCTAGCAGTATGAGGCCAATGGTACAAAAGGAAATATCTTCGTATAAAAACTAGACAGTATCATTCTCAGAAACTGCTTTGTGATGTGTGTATTAAACTCACAGAGTTGAACATTTCTTTGCATAGAGCAGTTTGGAAAGACTTAGTTTGTGCAGTGTGCAAGTGGATATTTGGAACTCTTTGAGGCCTTCGTTGGAAACGGGATTTCTTCTTATAATTCTTGACAAAAGAATTCTCAGTAGCTTCTTTGTGTGTGTGTATTCAACTCACAGAGTTGAACCTTCCTTTAGACAGAGCAGATTGGAAACACTCTTTTTGTGGAATTTGCAAGTGGAGAATTCTAGCGCTTTGACGCCAATGGTAGAAAGGAAATATCTTCGTATAAAAACTAGACAGTATCATTCTCAGAAACTGCTTTGTGATGTGTGTATTAAACTCACAGAGTTTAACCTTTCTTTTCATAGAGCAGTTTGGAAACCCTCTGTTTGTGAAGTCTGCAAGTGGATATTTAAACGTCTTTGAGGCCTTCGTTGGAAACGGGATTTTTTCATATAAACCAGGACAGAAGAATTCTCAGAAACTTCTTGTTTGTTATGTGTGCATTCAACTCACAGAGTTGAACCTTACTTTGGAAAGAGCAGTTTTCTAACACTCTTTTTGTAAAAGTTCCAAGTGAATACTTTGAGTGCTTTGAAGCCTACGGTAGACAACGAAATATCTTCATGTAAAAACTACAAAGAATCATTCGCAGAAACCACGTTGTGATCTCTGCATTCAACTCACAGAGTTCAACCTTTCTTCCTATAGAGCAGTTATTAAACAGTCTCTTTGTAGAATTTGCAAGGGTGTATTTAGAGGGCATTGAAGCCTACGGTAGAAAAGGAAATATCTTACCATAAAATCTAGTCAGAAGCATTCTCAGAAACTGAGTTGTGATGTTTGCATTCAACTCACAGAGTTCAACATTCCTTTTAATGGAGCGGTTTTGAAACACTCTTTTTGCAGAATCTGCAAGTGGATATTTGGACCTCTTTGAGGCCTTCGTTGGAAACGGGATTTCTTCATGTAATGCCAGACAGAAGAATTCTCAGTGAATTCTTTCTGTGTGTGTGTATTCAACTCACAGAGTTGAACGTTCCTTTAGACAGAGTAGATTGGAAACACTCTTTTTGTGGAATTTTCAGGTGGAGGTATCAAGCGCTTTGAGGCCAATGATAGAAAAGGAAATACCTTCGTATAATAATTAGACGGAATCATTCTCAGAAACTGCTTTGCAATGTGTGCGTTCAACTCACAGTGTTTAACCTTTCTTTTCATACAGTTGTTTCGAAACACTCTTTTTGCAGAATCTGCAAGTGGATATTTGGACCTCTTTGAAGTCTTCGTTGGAAATGGGATTTCTTCATATAATGCTAGACAGAAGACTTCTCAGTAACTGCTTTTTCTGGTGTGTATTCAACTCTCAGAGTTGAACTTTCCTTTAGAAACAGCAGATTTGAAACTCTCTTTTTGTGGAATTTGCAAGTGGAGATTTCAGAGCTTTGAGGCCAATGGTAGAAAAGGAAATATCTTCGTATGCAAACTAGACAGAATCATTCTCAGAAACTACTTTGGTACGTGTGTGTTCAACTCACAGTGTTTAACCTTTCTTTTCATAGAGCAGTTTGGAAACACTCAGTTTGTAAAGTCAGCAACTGGATATGTGGATGTATTTGAGGCCTTCGTTGGAAACGGGATTTCTTCCTATAATGCGAGACAGAAGAATTCTCAGTAACTTCTTTGGGTTGTGGGTATTCAACTCACAGAGTTGAAGCTTCCTTTAGGCAGAGCAGATTGGAAACACTTTTTGTGGAATTTTCAGGGGGAGACTTCAAGCGCTTTGAAGTGAATGGTAGAAAAGGAAATATCTTCGTATAAAAACTAGACGGAGTCATTCTCAGAAACTACTTTGTGATGTTTGCGTTCAACTCACAGAGTTTAACGTTTCTTTTCATAGAGCAGTTTGGAAACACTCTTTTTGCAGAATCTGCAAGTGGATATTTGGACCTCTTTGTGGCCTTCGTTGGAAACGGGATTTTTCATATAATGCTAGACAGAAGAATTCTCAGTAACTTCTTTTTGTGGTGTGTATTCAACTCACAGAGTTGAACCTTCCTTTAGACAGAGCAGATTTGAAACTCTCTTTTTGTGGAATTTGCAAGTGGAGATTTCAAGCGCTTTGAGGCCAACGGCAGAAAAGGAAATATCTTCGTAGAAAAAATAGACGGAATCATTCTCAGAAACTGCTTTGGGATGTGTGCATTGAACTCACAGTGTTTAACACTTCTTTTCATAGAGCACTTTGGAAACACTCAGTTTGTAATGTCTGCAGCTGGATATTTGGACCTCTTTGAGGCCTTCGTGGTAAACGGGATTTCTTCGTGTAATGATAGACAATAGAATTCTCAGTGAATTTTTTTCTGTGTGTGTGTATTCAACTCACAGGGTTGAACCTTCCTTTAGACAGTGCAGATTTGAAACACTTGTCTGTGGAATTTGCAAGGGGAGATTTCAAGCACTTTGAGGCCATTGGTGGAAAAGGAAATATCTTCGTATGAAAACTAGACAGAATCATTCTCAGGAACTACTTTGTGATATGTGCATTCAACTCACAGAGTTTAACCTTTCTTTTCATAGATGAGTTTGGAAACAGTCAGTTTGTAAATTCTGCAACTGGATATTTGGACCTCTTTGAGGCTTTCGTTGGAAACGGGATTTCTTCACATAATGCTAGACAAGAATTCTCAGTAACTTCTTTTGGGATGTATGTATTCAAATCAGAGAGTTGAACCTTCCTTTAGACAGAGCGGATTGGAAACACTCTTTTTGTGGAATTTGCAAGTGGAAAATTCTAGCAGTATGAGGCCAATGGTACAAAAGGAAATATCTTCGTATAAAAACTAGACAGTATCATTCTCAGAAACTGCTTTGTGATGTGTGTATTAAACTCACAGAGTTGAACATTTCTTTGCATAGAGCAGTTTGGAAAGACTTAGTTTGTGCAGTGTGCAAGTGGATATTTGGAACTCTTTGAGGCCTTCGTTGGAAACGGGATTTCTTCTTATATTTCTTGACAAAAGAATTCTCAGTAGCTTCTTTGTGTGTGTGTATTCAACTCACAGAGTTGAACCTTCCTTTAGACAGAGCAGATTGGAAACACTCTTTTTGTGGAATTTGCAAGTGGAGAATTCTAGCGCTTTGACGCCAATGGTAGAAAGGAAATATCTTCGTATAAAAACTAGACAGTATCATTCTCAGAAACTACTTTGTGATGTGTGCGTTCAACTCACAGAGTTTAACCTTTCTTTTCATAGAGCAGTTTGGAAACACTCTGTTTGTGAAGTCTGCAAGTGGATATTTAAACGTCTTTGAGGCCTTCGTTGGAAACGGGATTTTTTCCTATAAACCAGGACAGAAGAATTCTCAGAAACTTCTTGATTGTTATGTGTGCATTCAACTCACAGAGTTGAACCTTACTTTGGAAAGAGCAGTTTTCTAACACTCTTTTTGTAAAAGTTCCAAGTGAATACTTTGAGTGCTTTGAAGCCTACGGTTGACAACGAAATATCTTCATGTAAAAACTACAAAGAATCATTCGCAGAAACCACGTTGTGATCTCTGCATTCAACTCACAGAGTTGAACCTTTCCTCCTATAGAGCAGTTATGAAACAGTCTCTTTGTAGAATTTGCAAGGGTGTATTTACAGGGCATTGAAGCCTACGGTAGAAAAGGAAATATCTTACCATAAAATCTACTCAGAAGCATTCTCAGAAACTGAGTTGTGATGTTTGCATTCAACTCACAGAGTTCAACATTCCTTTTAATGGAGCGGTTTTGAAACACTCTTTTTGCAGAATCTGCAAGTGGATATTTGGACCTCTTTGAGGCCTTCGTTGGAAACGGGATTTCTTCATGTAATGCCAGACAGAAGAATTCTCAGTGAATTCTTTCTGTGTGTGTGTATTCAACTCACAGAGTTGAACGTTCCTTTAGACAGAGTAGATTGGAAACACTCTTTTTGTGGAATTTTCAGGTGGAGGTATCAAGCGCTTTGAGGCCAATGATAGAAAAGGAAATACCTTCGTATAATAATTAGACGGAATCATTCTCAGAAACCGCTTTGCAATGTGTGCGTTCAACTCACAGTGTTTAACCTTTCTTTTCATACAGTTGTTTCGAAACACTCTTTTTGCAGAATCTGCAAGTGGATATTTGGACCTCTTTGAAGTCTTCGTTGGAAATGGGATTTCTTCATATAATGCTAGACAGAAGACTTCTCAGTAACTGCTTTTTCTGGTGTGTATTCAACTCTCAGAGTTGAACTTTCCTTTAGAAACAGCAGATTTGAAACTCTCTTTTTGTGGAATTTGCAAGTGGAGATTTCAGAGCTTTGAGGCCAATGGTAGAAAAGGAAATATCTTCGTATGCAAACTAGACAGAATCATTCTCAGAAACTACTTTGGTACGTGTGTGTTCAACTCACAGTGTTTAACCTTTCTTTTCATAGAGCAGTTTGGAAACACTCAGTTTGTAAAGTCAGCAACTGGATATTTGGATGTATTTGAGGCCTTCGTTGGAAACGGGATTTCTTCATATAATGCTAGACAGAAGAATTCTCAGTAACTTCTTTGGGTTGTGGGTATTCAACTCACAGAGTTGAAGCTTCCTTTAGGCGGAGCAGATTGGAAACACTTTTTGTGGAATTTTCAGGGGGAGACTTCAAGCGCTTTGAAGTGAATGGTAGAAAAGGAAATATCTTCGTATAAAAACTAGACGGAGTCATTCTCAGAAACTACTTTGTGATGTTTGCGTTCAACTCACAGAGTTTAACGTTTCTTTTCATAGAGCAGTTTGGAAACACTCTTTTTGCAGAATCTGCAAGTGGATATTTGGACCTCTTTGTGGCCTTCGTTGGAAACGGGATTTTTCATATAATGCTAGACAGAAGAATTCTCAGTAACTTCTTTTTGTGGTGTGTATTCAACTCACAGAGTTGAACCTTCCTTTAGACAGAGCAGATTTGAAACTCTCTTTTTGTGGAATTTGCAAGTGGAGATTTCAAGCGCTTTGAGGCCAACGGCAGAAAAGGAAATATCTTCGTAGAAAAAATAGACGGAATCATTCTCAGAAACTGCTTTGGGATGTGTGCATTGAACTCACAGTGTTTAACACTTCTTTTCATAGAGCACTTTGGAAACACTCAGTTTGTAATGTCTGCAGCTGGATATTTGGACCTCTTTGAGGCCTTCGTAGTAAACGGGATTTCTTCGTGTAATGATAGACAATAGAATTCTCAGTGAATTTTTTTCTGTGTGTGTGTATTCAACTCACAGGGTTGAACCTTCCTTTAGACAGTGCAGATTTGAGACACTTGTCTGTGGAATTTGCAAGGGGAGATTTCAAGCACTTTGAGGCCATTGGTGGAAAAGGAAATATCTTCGTATAAAAACTAGACAGAATCATTCTCAGGAACTACTTTGTGATATGTGCATTCAACTCACAGAGTTTAACCTTTCTTTTCATAGATGAGTTTGGAAACAGTCAGTTTGTAAATTCTGCAACTGGATATTTGGACCTCTTTGAGGCTTTCGTTGGAAACGGGATTTCTTCACATAATGCTAGACAGAAGAATTCGCAGTAACTTCTTTTGGGATGTATGTATTCAACTCAGAGAGTTGAACCTTCCTTTAGACAGAGCGCATAGGAAACACGCTTTTTGCGGAATTTTCAGGTGGAGATTCCAAGAGCCTTGAGACCAATGGTAGAAAAGGCTATCTTCGTATAAAAACTAGAGGGAATCATTCTCAGAAACTGCTTTGTGATGTGTGTATTAAACTCACAGAGTTGAACATTTCTTTGCATAGAGCAGTTTGGAAAGACTTAGTTTGTGCAGTGTGCAAGTGGATATTTGGAACTCTTTGAGGCCTTCGTTGGAAACGGGATTTCTTCTTATAATTTCTTGAAAAAAGAATTCTCAGTAGCTTCTTTGTGTGTGTGTATTCAACTCACAGAGTTGAACCTTCCTTTAGACAGAGCAGATTGGAAACACTCTTTTTGTGGAATTTGCAAGTGGAGAATTCTAGCACTTTGACGCCAATGGTAGAAAGGAAATATCTTCGTATAAAAACTAGACATTATCATTCTCAGAAGCTACTTTGTGATGTGTGCGTTCAACTCACAGAGTTTAACCTTTCTTTTCATAGAGCAGTTTGGAAACCCTCTGTTTGTGAAGTCTGCAAGTGGATATTTAAACGTCTTTGAGGCCTTCGTTGGAAACGGGATTTTTTCATATAAACCAGGACAGAAGAATTCTCAGAAACTTCTTGATTGTTATGTGTGCATTCAACTCACAGAGTTGAACCTTACTTTGGAAAGAGCAGTTTTCTAACACTCTTTTTGTAAAAGTTCCAAGTGAATACTTTGAGTGCTTTGAAGCCTACGGTTGACAACGAAATATCTTCATGTAAAAACTACAAAGAATCATTCGCAGAAACCACGTTGTGATCTCTGCATTCAACTCACAGAGTTGAACCTTTCTTCCTATTGAGCAGTTATGAAACAGTCTCTTTGTAGAATTTGCAAGGGTGTATTTAGAGGGCATTGAAGCCTACGGTAGAAAAGGAAATATCTTACCATAAAATCTAGTCAGAAGCATTCTCAGGAAACTGAGTTGTGATGTTTGCATTCAACTCACAGCGTTCAACATTCCTTTTAATGGAGCGGTTTTGAAACACTCTTTTTGCAGAATCTGCAAGTGGATATTTGGACCTCTTTGAGGTCTTCGTTGGAAACGGGATTTCTTCATGTAATGCCAGACAGAAGAATTCTCAGTGAATTCTTTCTGTGTGTGTGTATTCAACTCACAGAGTTGAACGTTCCTTTAGACAGAGTAGATTGGAAACACTCTTTTTGTGGAATTTTCAGGTGGAGGTATCAAGCGCTTTGAGACCAATGATAGAAAAGGAAATACCTTCGTATAATAATTAGACGGAATCATTCTCAGAAAATGCTTTGCAATGGGTGCGTTCAACTCACAGTGTTTAACCTTTCTTTTCATACAGTTGTTTCAAAACACTCTTTTTGCAGAATCTGCAAGTGGATATTTGGACCTGTTTGAAGTCTTCTTTGGAAATGGGATTTCTTCATATAATGCTAGACAGAAGACTTCTCAGTAACTGCTTTTTCTGGTGTGTATTCAACTCTCAGAGTTGAACTTTCCTTTAGCAAACAGCAGAGTTGAAACTCTCTTTTTGTGGAATTTGCAAGTGGAGATTTCAAAGCTTTGAGGCCAATGGTAGAAAAGGAAATATCTTCGTATGCAAACTAGACAGAATCATTCTCAGAAACTACTTTGGTACGTGTGTGTTCAACTCACAGTGTTTAACCTTTCTTTTCATAGAGCAGTTTGGAAACACTCAGTTTGTAAAGTCAGCAACTGGATATTTGGATGTATTTGAGGCCTTCGTTGGAAACGGGATTTCTTCATATAGTGCTAGACAGAAGAATTCTCAGTAACTTCTTTGGGTTGTGGGTATTCAACTCACAGAGTTGAAGCTTCCTTTAGGCGGAGCAGATTGGAAACACTTTTTGTGGAATTTTCAGGGTGAGACTTCAAGCGCTTTGAAGTGAATGGTAGAAAAGGAAATATCTTCGTATAAAAACTAGACGGAGTCATTCTCAGAAACTACTTTGTGATGTTTGCGTTCAACTCACAGAGTTTAACGTTTCTTTTCATAGAGCAGTTTGGAAACACTCTTTTTGCAGAATCTGCAAGTGGATATTTGGACCTCTTTGTGGCCTTCGTTGGAAACGGGATTTTTCATATAATGCTAGACAGAAGAATTCTCAGTAACTTCTTTTTGTGGTGTGTATTCAACTCACAGAGTTGAACCTTCCTTTAGACAGAGCAGATTTGAAACTCTCTTTTTGTGGAATTTGCAAGTGGAGATTTCAAGCGCTTTGAGGCCAACGGCAGAAAAGGAAATATCTTCGTAGAAAAAATAGACGGAATCATTCTCAGAAACTGCTTTGGGATGTGTGCATTGAACTCACAGTGTTTAACACTTCTTTTCATAGAGCACTTTGGAAACACTCAGTTTGTAATGTCTGCAGCTGGATATTTGGACCTCTTTGAGGCCTTCGTAGTAAACGGGATTTCTTCGTGTAATGATAGACAATAGAATTCTCAGTGAATTTTTTTCTGTGTGTGTGTATTCAACTCACAGGGTTGAACCTTCCTTTAGACAGTGCAGATTTGAGACACTTGTCTGTGGAATTTGCAAGGGGAGATTTCAAGCACTTTGAGGCCATTGGTGGAAAAGGAAATATCTTCGTATAAAAACTAGACAGAATCATTCTCAGGAACTACTTTGTGATATGTGCATTCAACTCACAGAGTTTAACCTTTCTTTTCATAGATGAGTTTGGAAACAGTCAGTTTGTAAATTCTGCAACTGGATATTTGGACCTCTTTGAGGCTTTCGTTGGAAACGGGATTTCTTCACATAATGCTAGACAGAAGAATTCTCAGTAACTTCTTTTGGGATGTATGTATTCAAATCAGAGAGTTGAACCTTCCTTTAGACAGAGCGGATTGGAAACACTCTTTTTGTGGAATTTGCAAGTGGAAAATTCTAGCAGTATGAGGCCAATGGTACAAAAGGAAATATCTTCGTATAAAAACTAGACAGTATCATTCTCAGAAACTGCTTTGTGATGTGTGTATTAAACTCACAGAGTTGAACATTTCTTTGCATAGAGCAGTTTGGAAAGACTTAGTTTGTGCAGTGTGCAAGTGGATATTTGGAACTCTTTGAGGCCTTCGTTGGAAACGGGATTTCTTCTTATAATTCTTGACAAAAGAATTCTCAGTAGCTTCTTTGTGTGTGTGTATTCAACTCACAGAGTTGAACCTTCCTTTAGACAGAGCAGATTGGAAACACTCTTTTTGTGGAATTTGCAAGTGGAGAATTCTAGCGCTTTGACGCCAATGGTAGAAAGGAAATATCTTCGTATAAAAACTAGACAGTATCATTCTCAGAAACTACTTTGTGATGTGTGCGTTCAACTCACAGAGTTTAACCTTTCTTTTCATAGAGCAGTTTGGAAACACTCTGTTTGTGAAGTCTGCAAGTGGATATTTAAACGTCTTTGAGGCCTTCGTTGGAAACGGGATTTTTTCATATAAACCAGGACAGAAGAATCCTCAGAAACTTCTTGTTTGTTATGTGTGCATTCAACTCACAGAGTTGAACCTTACTTTGGAAAGAGCAGTTTCCTAACACTCTTTTTGTAAAAGTTCCAAGTGAATACTTTGAGTGCTTTGAAGCCTACAGTAGACAACGAAATATCTTCATGTAAAAACTACAAAGAATCATTCGCAGAAACCACGTTGTGATCTCTGCATTCAACTCACAGTGTTCAACCTTTCTTCCTATAGAGCAGTTATTAAACAGTCTCTTTGTAGAATTTGCAAGGGTGTATTTAGAGGGCATTGAAGCCTACGGTAGAAAAGGAAATATCTGACCATAAAATCTAGTCAGAAGCATTCTCAGAAACTGTGTTGTGATGTTTGCATTCAACTCACAGAGTTCCACATTCCTTTTAATAGAGCGGTATTGAAACACTCTTTTTGCAGAAACTGCAAGTGTATATTTGGACCTCTTTGAGGCCTTCGTTGGAAACGGGATTTCTTCATGTAATGCCAGACAGAAGAATTCTCAGTGAATTCTTTCTGTGTGTGTGTATTCAACTCACAGAGTTGAACGTTCCTTTAGACAGAGTAGATTGGAAACACTCTTTTTGTGGAATTTTCAGGTGGAGGTATCAAGCGCTTTGAGGCCAATGATAGAAAAGGAAATACCTTCGTATAATAATTAGACGGAATCATTCTCAGAAACTGCTTTGCAATGTGTGCGTTCAACTCACAGTGTTTAACCTTTCTTTTCATACAGTTGTTTCGAAACACTCTTTTTGCAGAATCTGCAAGTGGATATTTGGACCTCTTTGAAGTCTTCGTTGGAAATGGGATTTCTTCATATAATGCTAGACAGAAGACTTCTCAGTAACTGCTTTTTCTGGTGTGTATTCAACTCTCAGAGTTGAACTTTCCTTTAGAAACAGCAGATTTGAAACTCTCTTTTTGTGGAATTTGCAAGTGGAGATTTCAGAGCTTTGAGGCCAATGGTAGAAAAGGAAATATCTTCGTATGCAAACTAGACAGAATCATTCTCAGAAACTACTTTGGTACGTGTGTGTTCAACTCACAGTGTTTAACCTTTCTTTTCATAGAGCAGTTTGGAAACACTCAGTTTGTAAAGTCAGCAACTGGATATTTGGATGTATTTGAGGCCTTCGTTGGAAACGGGATTTCTTCATATAGTGCTAGACAGAAGAATTCTCAGTAACTTCTTTGGGTTGTGGGTATTCAACTCACAGAGTTGAAGCTTCCTTTAGCGGAGCAGATTGGAAACACTTTTTGTGGAATTTTCAGGGGGAGACTTCAAGCGCTTTGAAGTGAATGGTAGGAAAGGAAATATCTTCGTATAAAAACTAGACGGAGTCATTCTCAGAAACTACTTTGTGATGTTTGCGTTCAACTCACAGAGTTTAACGTTTCTTTTCATAGAGCAGTTTGGAAACACTCTTTTTGCAGAATCTGCAAGTGGATATTTGGACCTCTTTGTGGCCTTCGTTGGAAACGGGATTTTTCATATAATGCTAGACAGAAGAATTCTCAGTAACTTCTTTTTGTGGTGTGTATTCAACTCACAGAGTTGAACCTTCCTTTAGACAGAGCAGATTTGAAACTCTCTTTTTGTGGAATTTGCAAGTGGAGATTTCAAGCGCTTTGAGGCCAACGGTAGAAAAGGAAATATCTTCGTAGAAAAAATAGACGGAATCATTCTCAGAAACTGCTTTGGGATGTGTGCATTGAACTCACAGTGTTTAACACTTCTTTTCATAGAGCACTTTGGAAACACTCAGTTTGTAATGTCTGCAGCTAGATATTTGGACCTCTTTGAGGCCTTCGTAGTAAACGGGATTTCTTCGTGTAATGATAGACAATAGAATTCTCAGTGAATTTTTTTCTGTGTGTGTGTATTCAACTCACAGGGTTGAACCTTCCTTTAGACAGTGCAGATTTGAAACACTTGTCTGTGGAATTTGCAAGGGGAGATTTCAAGCACTTTGAGGCCATTGGTGGAAAAGGAAATATCTTCGTATGAAAACTAGACAGAATCATTCTCAGGAACTACTTTGTGATATGTGCATTCAACTCCCAGAGTTTAACCTTTCTTTTCATAGATGAGTTTGGAAACAGTCAGTTTGTAAATTCTGCAACTGGATATTTGGACCTCTTTGAGGCTTTCGTTGGAAACGGGATTTCTTCACATAATGCTAGACAGAAGAATTCTCAGTAACTTCTTTTGGGATGTATGTATTCAAATCAGAGAGTTGAACCTTCCTTTAGACAGAGCGGATTGGAAACACTCTTTTTGTGGAATTTGCAAGTGGAAAATTCTAGCAGTATGAGGCCAATGGTACAAAAGGAAATATCTTCGTATAAAAACTAGACAGTATCATTCTCAGAAACTGCTTTGTGATGTGTGTATTAAACTCACAGAGTTGAACATTTCTTTGCATAGAGCAGTTTGGAAAGACTTAGTTTGTGCAGTGTGCAAGTGGATATTTGGAACTCTTTGAGGCCTTCGTTGGAAACGGGATTTCTTCTTATAATTCTTGACAAAAGAATTCTCAGTAGCTTCTTTGTGTGTGTGTATTCAACTCACAGAGTTGAACCTTCCTTTAGACAGAGCAGATTGGAAACACTCTTTTTGTGGAATTTGCAAGTGGAGAATTCTAGCGCTTTGACGCCAATGGTAGACAGGAAATATCTTCGTATAAAAACTAGACAGTTATCATTCTCAGTAAACTACTTTGTGATGTGTGCGTTCAACTCACAGTAGTTTAACCTTTCTTTTCATAGAGCAGTTTGGAAACACTCTGTTTGTGAAGTCTGCAAGTGGATATTTAAACGTCTTTGAGGCCTTCGTTGGAAACGGGATTTCTTCATATAAACCAGGACAGAAGAATTCTCAGAAACTTCTTGATTGTTATGTGTGCATTCAACTCACAGAGTTGAACCTTACTTTGGAAAGAGCAGTTTTCTAACACTCTTTTTGTAAAAGTTCCAAGTGAATACTTTGAGTGCTTTGAAGCCTACGGTTGACAACGAAATATCTTCATGTAAAAACTACAAAGAATCATTCGCAGAAACCACGTTGTGATCTCTGCATTCAACTCACAGAGTTCAACCTTTCTTCCTATAGAGCAGTTATGAAACAGTCTCTTTGTAGAATTTGCAAGGGTGTATTTAGAGGGCATTGAAGCCTACGGTAGAAAAGGAAATATCTTACCATAAAATCTAGTCAGAAGCATTCTCAGAAACTGAGTTGTGATGTTTGCATTCAACTCACAGAGTTCAACATTCCTTTTAATGGAGCGGTTTTGAAACACTCTTTTTGCAGAATCTGCAAGTGGATATTTGGACCTCTTTGAGGCCTTCGTTGGAAACGGGATTTCTTCATGTAATGCCAGACAGAAGAATTCTCAGTGAATTCTTTCTGTGTGTGTGTATTCAACTCACAGAGTTGAACGTTCCTTTAGACAGAGTAGATTGGAAACACTCTTTTTGTGGAATTTTCAGGTGGAGGTATCAAGCGCTTTGAGGCCAATGATAGAAAAGGAAATACCTTCGTATAATAATTAGACGGAATCATTCTCAGAAACCGCTTTGCAATGTGTGCGTTCAACTCACAGTGTTTAACCTTTCTTTTCATACAGTTGTTTCGAAACACTCTTTTTGCAGAATCTGCAAGTGGATATTTGGACCTCTTTGAAGTCTTCGTTGGAAATGGGATTTCTTCATATAATGCTAGACAGAAGACTTCTCAGTAACTGCTTTTTCTGGTGTGTATTCAACTCTCAGAGTTGAACTTTCCTTTAGAAACAGCAGATTTGAAACTCTCTTTTTGTGGAATTTGCAAGTGGAGATTTCAGAGCTTTGAGGCCAATGGTAGAAAAGGAAATATCTTCGTATGCAAACTAGACAGAATCATTCTCAGAAACTACTTTGGTACGTGTGTGTTCAACTCACAGTGTTTAACCTTTCTTTTCATAGAGCAGTTTGGAAACACTCAGTTTGTAAAGTCAGCAACTGGATATTTGGATGTATTTGAGGCCTTCGTTGGAAACGGGATTTCTTCATATAATGCTAGACAGAAGAATTCTCAGTAACTTCTTTGGGTTGTGGGTATTCAAGTCACAGAGTTGAAGCTTCCTTTAGGCGGAGCAGATTGGAAACACTTTTTGTGGAATTTTCAGGGGGAGACTTCAAGCGCTTTGAAGTGAATGGTAGGAAAGGAAATATCTTCGTATAAAAACTAGACGGAGTCATTCTCAGAAACTACTTTGTGATGTTTGCGTTCAACTCACAGAGTTTAACGTTTCTTTTCATAGAGCAGTTTGGAAACACTCTTTTTGCAGAATCTGCAAGTGGATATTTGGACCTCTTTGTGGCCTTCGTTGGAAACGGGATTTTTCATATAATGCTAGACAGAAGAATTCTCAGTAACTTCTTTTTGTGGTGTGTATTCAACTCACAGAGTTGAACCTTCCTTTAGACAGAGCAGATTTGAAACTCTCTTTTTGTGGAATTTGCAAGTGGAGATTTCAAGCGCTTTGAGGCCAACGGCAGAAAAGGAAATATCTTCGTAGAAAAAATAGACGGAATCATTCTCAGAAACTGCTTTGGGATGTGTGCATTGAACTCACAGTGTTTAACACTTCTTTTCATAGAGCACTTTGGAAACACTCAGTTTGTAATGTCTGCAGCTGGATATTTGGACCTCTTTGAGGCCTTCGTAGTAAACGGGATTTCTTCGTGTAATGATAGACAATAGAATTCTCAGTGAATTTGTTTCTGTGTGTGTGTATTCAACTCACAGGGTTGAACCTTCCTTTAGACAGTGCAGATTTGAAACACTTGTCTGTGGAATTTGCAAGGGGAGATTTCAAGCACTTTGAGGCCATTGGTGGAAAAGGAAATATCTTCGTATGAAAACTAGACAGAATCATTCTCAGGAACTACTTTGTGATATGTGCATTCAACTCACAGAGTTTAACCTTTCTTTTCATAGATGAGTTTGGAAACAGTCAGTTTGTAAATTCTGCAACTGGATATTTGGACCTCTTTGAGGCTTTCGTTGGAAACGGGATTTCTTCACATAATGCTAGACAGAAGAATTCTCAGTAACTTCTTTTGGGATGTATGTATTCAAATCAGAGAGTTGAACCTTCCTTTAGACAGAGCGGATTGGAAACACTCTTTTTGTGGAATTTGCAAGTGGAAAATTCTAGCAGTATGAGGCCAATGGTACAAAAGGAAATATCTTCGTATAAAAACTAGACAGTATCATTCTCAGAAACTGCTTTGTGATGTGTGAATTAAACTCACAGAGTTGAACATTTCTTTGCATAGAGCAGTTTGGAAAGACTTAGTTTTTGCAGTGTGCAAGTGGATATTTGGAACTCTTTGAGGCCTTCGTTGGAAACGGGATTTCTTCTTATAATTCTTGACAAAAGAATTCTCAGTAGCTTCTTTGTGTGTGTGTATTCAACTCACAGAGTTGAACCTTCCTTTAGACAGAGCAGATTGGAAACACTCTTTTTGTGGAATTTGCAAGTGGAGAATTCTAGCGCTTTGACGCAAATGGAAGGAAAGGAAATATCTCCGTATAAAAACTAGACAGTATCATTCTCAGAAACTACTTTGTGAGGTGTGCGTTCAACTCACAGTGTTTACCCTTTCTTTTCATAGAGCAGTTTGGAAACACTCTGTTTGTGAAGTCTGCAAGTGGATATTTAAACGTCTTTGAGGCCTTCGTTGGAAACGGGATTTCTTCATATAAACCAGGACAGAAGAATTCTCAGAAACTTCTTGTTTGTTATGTGTGCATTCAACTCACAGAGTTGAACCTTACTTTGGAAAGAGCAGTTTTCTAACACTCTTTTTGTGAAAGTTCCAAGTGAATACTTTGAGTGCTTTGAAGCCTACGGTAGACAACGAAATATCTTCATGTAAAAACTACAAAGAATCATTCGCAGAAACCACGTTGTGATCTCTGCTTTCAACTCACAGAGTTGAACCTTTCCTCCTATAGAGCAGTTATGAAACAGTCTCTTTGTTGAATTTGCAAGGGTGTATTTACAGTGCATTGAAGCCTACGGTAGAAAAGGAAATATCTTACCATAAAATCTAGTCAGAAGCATTCTCAGAAACTGAGTTGTGATGTTTGCATTCAACTCACAGAGTTCAACATTCCTTTTAATGGAGCGGTTTTGAAACACTCTTTTTGCAGAATCTGCAAGTGGATATTTGGACCTCTTTGAGGCCTTCGTTGGAAACGGGATTTCTTCATGTAATGCCAGACAGAAGAATTCTCAGTGAATTCTTTCTGTGTGTGTGTATTCAACTCACAGAGTTGAACGTTCCTTTAGACAGAGTAGATTGGAAACACTCTTTTTGTGGAATTTTCAGGTGGAGGTATCAAGCGCTTTGAGGCCAATGATAGAAAAGGAAATACCTTCGTATAATAATTAGACGGAATCATTCTCAGAAACTGCTTTGCAATGTGTGCGTTCAACTCACAGTGTTTAACCTTTCTTTTCATACAGTTGTTTCGAAACACTCTTTTTGCAGAATCTGCAAGTGGATATTTGGACCTCTTTGAAGTCTTCGTTGGAAATGGGATTTCTTCATATAATGCTAGACAGAAGACTTCTCAGTAACTGCTTTTTCTGGTGTGTATTCAACTCTCAGAGTTGAACTTTCCTTTAGAAACAGCAGATTTGAAACTCTCTTTTTGTGGAATTTGCAAGTGGAGATTTCAGAGCTTTGAGGCCAATGGTAGAAAAGGAAATATCTTCGTATGCAAACTAGACAGAATCATTCTCAGAAACTACTTTGGTACGTGTGTGTTCAACTCACAAGTGTTTAACCTTTCTTTTCATAGAGCAGTTTGGAAACACTCAGTTTGTAAAGTCAGCAACTGGATATTTGGATGTATTTGAGGCCTTCGTTGGAAACGGGATTTCTTCATATAATGCTAGACAGAAGAATTCTCAGTAACTTCTTTGGGTTGTGGGTATTCAAGTCACAGAGTTGAAGCTTCCTTTAGGCGGAGCAGATTGGAAACACTTTTTGTGGAATTTTCAGGGGGAGACTTCAAGCGCTTTGAAGTGAATGGTAGGAAAGGAAATATCTTCGTATAAAAACTAGACGGAGTCATTCTCAGAAACTACTTTGTGATGTTTGCGTTCAACTCACAGAGTTTAACGTTTCTTTTCATAGAGCAGTTTGGAAACACTCTTTTTGCAGAATCTGCAAGTGGATATTTGGACCTCTTTGTGGCCTTCGTTGGAAACGGGATTTTTCATATAATGCTAGACAGAAGAATTCTCAGTAACTTCTTTTTGTGGTGTGTATTCAACTCACAGAGTTGAACCTTCCTTTAGACAGAGCAGATTTGAAACTCTCTTTTTGTGGAATTTGCAAGTGGAGATTTCAAGCGCTTTGAGGCCAACGGCAGAAAAGGAAATATCTTCGTAGAAAAAATAGACGGAATCATTCTCAGAAACTGCTTTGGGATGTGTGCATTGAACTCACAGTGTTTAACACTTCTTTTCATAGAGCACTTTGGAAACACTCAGTTTGTAATGTCTGCAGCTGGATATTTGGACCTCTTTGAGGCCTTCGTGGTAAACGGGATTTCTTCGTGTAATGATAGACAATAGAATTCTCAGTGAATTTTTTTCTGTGTGTGTGTATTCAACTCACAGGGTTGAACCTTCCTTTAGACAGTGCAGATTTGAAACACTTGTCTGTGGAATTTGCAAGGGGAGATTTCAAGCACTTTGAGGCCATTGGTGGAAAAGGAAATATCTTCGTATGAAAACTAGACAGAATCATTCTCAGGAACTACTTTGTGATATGTGCATTCAACTCACAGGGTTTAACCTTTCTTTTCATAGATGAGTTTGGAAACAGTCAGTTTGTAAATTCTGCAACTGGATATTAGGACCTCTTTGAGGCTTTCGTTGGAAACGGGATTTCTTCACATAATGCTAGACAGAAGAATTCGCAGTAACTTCTTTTGGGATGTATGTATTCAACTCAGAGAGTTGAACCTTCCTTTAGACAGAGCGCATTGGAAACACGCTTTTTGCGGAATTTTCAGGTGGAGATTCCAAGAGCCTTGAGGCCAATGGTAGAAAAGGCTATCTTTGTATAAAATCTAGAGGGATATCATTCTCAGAAACTGCTTTGTGATGTGTGTATTAAACTCACAGAAGTTGAACATTTCTTTGCATAGAACAGTTTGGAAAGACTTAGTTTGTGCAGTGTGCAAGTGGATATTTGGAACTCTTTGAGGCCTTCGTTGGAAACCGGATTTCTTCTTATAATTTCTTGACAAAAGAATTCTCAGTAGCTTCTTTGTGTGTGTGTATTCAACTCACAGAGTTGAACCTTCCTTTAGACAGAGCAGATTGGAAACACTCTTTTTGTGGAATTTGCAAGTGGAGAATTCTAGCGCTTTGACGCCAATGGTAGAAAGGAAATATCTTCGTATAAAAACTAGACAGTATCATTCTCAGAAGCTACTTTGTGATGTGTGCGTTCAACTCACAGAGTTTAACCTTTCTTTTCATAGAGCAGTTTGGAAACCCTCTGTTTGTGAAGTCTGCAAGTGGATATTTAAACGTCTTTGAGGCCTTCGTTGGAAACGGGATTTTTTCATATAAACCAGGACAGAAGAATTCTCAGAAACTTCTTGATTGTTATGTGTGCATTCAACTCACAGAGTTGAACCTTACTTTGGAAAGAGCAGTTTTCTAACACTCTTTTTGGAAAAGTTCCAAGTGAATACTTTGAGTGCTTTGAAGCCTACGGTTGACAACGAAATATCTTCCTGTAAAAACTACAAAGAATCATTCGCAGAAACCACGTTGTGATCTCTGTATTCAACTCACAGAGTTGAACCTTTCCTCCTATAGAGCAGTTATGAAACAGTCTCTTTGTAGAATTTGCAAGGGTGTATTTAGAGGGCATTGAAGCCTACGGTAGAAAAGGAAATATCTTACCATAAAATCTAGTCAGAAGCATTCTCAGAAACTGAGTTGTGATGTTTGCATTCAACTCACAGAGTTCAACATTCCTTTTAATGGAGCGGTTTTGAAACACTCTTTTTGCAGAATATGCAAGTGGATATTTGGACCTCTTTGAGGCCTTCGTTGGAAACGGGATTTCTTCATGTAATGCCAGACAGAAGAATTCTCAGTGAATTCTTTCTGTGTGTGTGTATTCAACTCACAGAGTTGAACGTTCCTTTAGACAGAGTAGATTGGAAACACTCTTTTTGTGGAATTTTCAGGTGGAGGTATCAAGCGCTTTGAGGCCAATGATAGAAAAGGAAATACCTTCGTATAATAATTAGACGGAATCATTCTCAGAAACCGCTTTGCAATGTGTGCGTTCAACTCACAGTGTTTAACCTTTCTTTTCATACAGTTGTTTCGAAACACTCTTTTTGCAGAATCTGCAAGTGGATATTTGGACCTCTTTGAAGTCTTCGTTGGAAATGGGATTTCTTCATATAATGCTAGACAGAAGACTTCTCAGTAACTGCTTTTTCTGGTGTGTATTCAACTCTCAGAGTTGAACTTTCCTTTAGAAACAGCAGATTTGAAACTCTCTTTTTGTGGAATTTGCAAGTGGAGATTTCAGAGCTTTGAGGCCAATGGTAGAAAAGGAAATATCTTCGTATGCAAACTAGACAGAATCATTCTCAGAAACTACTTTGGTACGTGTGTGTTCAACTCACAGTGTTTAACCTTTCTTTTCATAGAGCAGTTTGGAAACACTCAGTTTGTAAAGTCAGCAACTGGATATTTGGATGTATTTGAGGCCTTCGTTGGAAACGGGATTTCTTCATATAGTGCTAGACAGAAGAATTCTCAGTAACTTCTTTGGGTTGTGGGTATTCAACTCACAGAGTTGAAGCTTCCTTTAGGCGGAGCAGATTGGAAACACTTTTTGTGGAATTTTCAGGGGGAGACTTCAAGCGCTTTGAAGTGAATGGTAGAAAAGGAAATATCTTCGTATAAAAACTAGACGGAGTCATTCTCAGAAACTACTTTGTGATGTTTGCGTTCAACTCACAGAGTTTAACGTTTCTTTTCATAGAGCAGTTTGGAAACACTCTTTTTGCAGAATCTGCAAGTGGATATTTGGACCTCTTTGTGGCCTTCGTTGGAAACGGGATTTTTCATATAATGCTAGACAGAAGAATTCTCAGTAACTTCTTTTTGTGGTGTGTATTCAACTCACAGAGTTGAACCTTCCTTTAGACAGAGCAGATTTGAAACTCTCTTTTTGTGGAATTTGCAAGTGGAGATTTCAAGCGCTTTGAGGCCAACGGTAGAAAAGGAAATATCTTCGTAGAAAAAATAGACGGAATCATTCTCAGAAACTGCTTTGGGATGTGTGCATTGAACTCACAGTGTTTAACACTTCTTTTCATAGAGCACTTTGGAAACACTCAGGTTGTAATGTCTGCAGCTGGATATTTGGACCTCTTTGAGGCCTTCGTAGTAAACGGGATTTCTTCGTGTAATGATAGACAATAGAATTCTCAGTGAATTTTTTTCTGTGTGTGTGTATTCAACTCACAGGGTTGAACCTTCCTTTAGACAGTGCAGATTTGAAACACTTGTCTGTGGAATTTGCAAGGGGAGATTTCAAGCACTTTGAGGCCATTGGTGGAAAAGGAAATATCTTCGTATGAAAACTAGACAGAATCATTCTCAGGAACTACTTTGTGATATGGGCATTCAACTCCCAGAGTTTAACCTTTCTTTTCATAGATGAGTTTGGAAACAGTCAGTTTGTAAATTCTGCAACTGGATATTTGGACCTCTTTGAGGCTTTCGTTGGAAACGGGATTTCTTCACATAATGCTAGACAGAAGAATTCTCAGTAACTTCTTTTGGGATGTATGTATTCAAATCAGAGAGTTGAACCTTCCTTTAGACAGAGCGGATTGGAAACACTCTTTTTGTGGAATTTGCAAGTGGAAAATTCTAGCAGTATGAGGCCAATGGTACAAAAGGAAATATCTTCGTATAAAAACTAGACAGTATCATTCTCAGAAACTGCTTTGTGATGTGTGTATTAAACTCACAGAGTTGAACATTTCTTTGCATAGAGCAGTTTGGAAAGACTTAGTTTGTGCAGTGTGCAAGTGGATATTTGGAACTCTTTGAGACCTTCGTTGGAAACGGGATTTCTTCTTATAATTTCTTGAAAAAAGAATTCTCAGTAGCTTCTTTGTGTGTGTGTATTCAACTCACAGAGTTGAACCTTCCTTTAGACAGAGCAGATTGGAAACACTCTTTTTGTGGAATTTGCAAGTGGAGAATTCTAGCGCTTTGACGCCAATGGTAGAAAGGAAATATCTTCGTATAAAAACTAGACAGTATCATTCTCAGAAACTACTTTGTGATGTGTGCGTTCAACTCACAGAGTTTAACCTTTCTTTTCATAGAGCAGTTTGGAAACCCTCTGTTTGTGAAGTCTGCAAGTGGATATTTAAACGTCTTTGAGGCCTTCGTTGGAAACGGGATTTGTTCCTATAAACCAGGACAGAAGAATTCTCAGAAACTTCTTGATTGTTATGTGTGCATTCAACTCACAGAGTTGAACCTTACTTTGGAAAGAGCAGTTTTCTAACACTCTTTTTGTAAAAGTTCCAAGTGAATACTTTGAGTGCTTTGAAGCCTACGGTTGACAACGAAATATCTTCATGTAAAAACTACAAAGAATCATTCGCAGAAACCACGTTGTGATCTCTGCATTCAACTCACAGAGTTCAACCTTTCTTCCTATAGAGCAGTTATGAAACAGTCTCTTTGTAGAATTTGCAAGGGTGTATTTAGAGGGCATTGAAGCCTACGGTAGAAAAGGAAATATCTTACCATAAAATCTAGTCAGAAGCATTCTCAGCAACTGAGTTGTGATGTTTGCATTCAACTCACAGAGTTCAACATTCCTTTTCATGGAGCGGTTTTGAAACACTCTTTTTGCAGAATCTGCAAGTGGATATTTGGACCTCTTTGAGGCCTTCGTTGGAAACGGGATTTCTTCATGTAATGCCAGACAGAAGAATTCTCAGTGAATTCTTTCTGTGTGTGTGTATTCAACTCACAGAGTTGAACGTTCCTTTAGACAGAGTAGATTGGAAACACTCTTTTTGTGGAATTTTCAGGTGGAGGTATCAAGCGCTTTGAGGCCAATGATAGAAAAGGAAATACCTTCGTATAATAATTAGACGGAATCATTCTCAGAAACTGCTTTGCAATGTGTGCGTTCAACTCACAAGTGTTTAACCTTTCTTTTCATACAGTTGTTTCGAAACACTCTTTTTGCAGAATCTGCAAGTGGATATTTGGACCTCTTTGAAGTCTTCGTTGGAAATGGGATTTCTTCATATAATGCTAGACAGAAGACTTCTCAGTAACTGCTTTTTCTGGTGTGTATTCAACTCTCAGAGTTGAACTTTCCTTTAGAAACAGCAGAGTTGAAACTCTCTTTTTGTGGAATTTGCAAAGTGGAGATTTCAGAGCTTTGAGGCCAATGGTAGAAAAGGAAATATCTTCGTATGCAAACTAGACAGAATCATTCTCAGAAACTACTTTGGTACGTGTGTGTTCAACTCACAGTGTTTAACCTTTCTTTTCATAGAGCAGTTTGGAAACACTGTTTGTAAAGTCAGCAACTGGATATTTGGATGTATTTGAGGCCTTCGTTGGAAACGGGATTTCTTCATATAATGCTAGACAGAAGAATTCTCAGTAACTTCTTTGGGTTGTGGGTATTCAAGTCACAGAGTTGAAGCTTCCTTTAGGCGGAGCAGATTGGAAACACTTTTTGTGGAATTTTCAGGGGGAGACTTCAAGCGCTTTGAAGTGAATGGTAGGAAAGGAAATATCTTCGTATAAAAACTAGACGGAGTCATTCTCAGAAACTACTTTGTGATGTTTGCGTTCAACTCACAGAGTTTAACGTTTCTTTTCATAGAGCAGTTTGGAAACACTCTTTTTGCAGAATCTGCAAGTGGATATTTGGACCTCTTTGTGGCCTTCGTTAGAAACGGGATTTTTCATATAATGCTAGACAGAAGAATTCTCAGTAACTTCTTTTTGTGGTGTGTATTCAACTCACAGAGTTGAACCTTCCTTTAGACAGAGCAGATTTGAAACTCTCTTTTTGTGGAATTTGCAAGTGGAGATTTCAAGCGCTTTGAGGCCAACGGCAGAAAAGGAAATATCTTCGTAGAAAAAATAGACGGAATCATTCTCAGAAACTGCTTTGGGATGTGTGCATTGAACTCACAGTGTTTAACACTTCTTTTCATAGAGCACTTTGGAAACACTCAGTTTGTAATGTCTGCAGCTGGATATTTGGACCTCTTTGAGGCCTTCGTAGTAAACGGGATTTCTTCGTGTAATGATAGACAATAGAATTCTCAGTGAATTTTTTTTTGTGTGTGTATTCAACTCACAGGGTTGAACTTTCCTTTAGACAGTGCAGATTTGAAACACTTTTTGTGGAATTTGCAAGGGGAGATTTCAAGCACCTTGAGGCCAGTGGTGGAAAAGGAAATATGTTCGTATAAAAACTAGACAGAATCATTCTCAGGAACTACTTTGTGATATGTGCATTCAACTCACAGAGTTTAACCTTTCTTTTCATAGATGAGTTTGGAAACAGTCAGTTTGTAAATTCTGCAACTGGATATTTGGACCTCTTTGAGGCTTTCGTTGGAAACGGGATTTCTTCACATAATGCTAGACAGAAGAATTCTCAGTAACTTCTTTTAGGATGTATGTATTCAAATCAGAGAGTTGAACCTTCCTTTAGACAGAGCGGATTGGAAACTCTCTTTTTGTGGAATTTGCAAGTGGAAAATTCTAGCAGTATGAGGCCAATGGTACAAAAGGAAATATCTTCGTATAAAAACTAGACAGTATCATTCTCAGAAACTGCTTTGTGATGTGTGTATTAAACTCACAGAGTTGAACATTTCTTTGCATAGAGCAGTTTGGAAAGACTTAGTTTGTGCAGTGTGCAAGTGGATATTTGGAACTCTTTGAGGCCTTCGTTGGAAACGGGATTTCTTCTTGTAATTCTTGACAAAAGAATTCTCAGTAGCTTCTTTGTGTGTGTGTATTCAACTCACAGAGTTGAACCTTCCTTTAGACAGAGCAGATTGGAAACACTCTTTTTGTGGAATTTGCAAGTGGAGAATTCTAGCGCTTTGACGCCAATGGTAGAAAGGAAATATCTTCGTATAAAAACTAGACAGTATCATTCTCAGAAACTACTTTGTGATGTGTGCGTTCAACTCACAGAGTTTAACCTTTCTTTTCATAGAGCAGTTTGGAAACACTCTGTTTGTGAAGTCTGCAAGTGGATATTTAAACGTCTTTGAGGCCTTCGTTGGAAACGGGATTTTTTCATATAAACCAGGACAGAAGAATTCTCAGAAACTTCTTGATTGTTATGTGTGCATTCAACTCACAGAGTTGAACCTTACTTTGGAAAGAGCAGTTTTCTAACACTCTTTTTGTAAAAGTTCCAAGTGAATACTTTGAGTGCTTTGAAGCCTACGGTTGACAACGAAATATCTTCATGTAAAAACTACAAAGAATCATTCGCAGAAACCACGTTGTGATCTCTGCATTCAACTCACAGAGTTGAACCTTTCTTCCTATAGAGCAGTTATGAAACAGTCTCTTTGTAGAATTTGCAAGGGTGTATTTAGAGGGCATTGAAGCCTACGGTAGAAAAGGAAATATCTTACCATAAAATCTAGTCAGAAGCATTCTCAGAAACTGAGTTGTGATGTTTGCATTCAACTCACAGAGTTCAACATTCCTTTTAATGGAGCGGTTTTGAAACACTCTTTTTGCAGAATCTGCAAGTGGATATTTGGACCTCTTTGAGGCCTTCGTTGGAAACGGGATTTCTTCATGTAATGCCAGACAGAAGAATTCTCAGTGAATTCTTTCTGTGTGTGTGTATTCAACTCACAGAGTTGAACGTTCCTTTAGACAGAGTAGATTGGAAACACTCTTTTTGTGGAATTTTCAGGTGGAGGTATCAAGCGCTTTGAGGCCAATGATAGAAAAGGAAATACCTTCGTATAATAATTAGACGGAATCATTCTCAGAAACTGCTTTGCAATGTGTGCCTTCAACTCACAGCGTTTAACCTTTCTTTTCATACAGTTGTTTCGAAACACTCTTTTTGCAGAACCTGCAAGTGGATATTTGGACCTCTTTGAAGTCTTCGTTGGAAATGGGATTTCTTCATATAATGCTAGACAGAAGACTTCTCAGTAACTGCTTTTTCTGGTGTGTATTCAACTCTCAGAGTTGAACTTTCCTTTAGAAACAGCAGATTTGAAACTCTCTTTTTGTGGAATTTGCAAGTGGAGATTTCAAAGCTTTGAGGCCAATGGTAGAAAAGGAAATATCTTCGTATGCAAACTAGACAGAATCATTCTCAGAAACTACTTTGGTACGTGTGTGTTCAACTCACAGTGTTTAACCTTTCTTTTCATAGAGCAGTTTGGAAACACTCAGTTTGTAAAGTCAGCAACTGGATATTTGGATGTATTTGAGGCCTTCGTTGGAAACGGGATTTCTTCATATAATGCTAGACAGAAGAATTCTCAGTAACTTCTTTGGGTTGTGGGTATTCAAGTCACAGAGTTGAAGCTTCCTTTAGGCGGAGCAGATTGGAAACACTTTTTGTGGAATTTTCAGGGGGAGACTTCAAGCGCTTTGAAGTGAATGGTAGGAAAGGAAATATCTTCGTATAAAAACTAGACGGAGTCATTCTCAGAAACTACTTTGTGATGTTTGCATTCAACTCACAGAGTTTAACGTTTCTTTTCATAGAGCAGTTTGGAAACACTCTTTTTGCAGAATCTGCAAGTGGATATTTGGACCTCTTTGTGGCCTTCGTTGGAAACGGGATTTTTCATATAATGCTAGACAGAAGAATTCTCAGTAACTTCTTTTTGTGGTGTGTATTCAACTCACAGAGTTGAACCTTCCTTTAGACAGAGCAGATTTGAAACTCTCTTTTTGTGGAATTTGCAAGTGGAGATTTCAAGCGCTTTGAGGCCAACGGCAGAAAAGGAAATATCTTCGTAGAAAAAATAGACGGAATCATTCTCAGAAACTGCTTTGGGATGTGTGCATTGAACTCACAGTGTTTAACACTTCTTTTCATAGAGCACTTTGGAAACACTCAGTTTGTAATGTCTGCAGCTGGATATTTGGACCTCTTTGAGGCCTTCGTAGTAAACGGGATTTCTTCGTGTAATGATAGACAATAGAATTCTCAGTGAATTTTTTTCTGTGTGTGTGTATTCAACTCACAGGGTTGAACCTTCCTTTAGACAGTGCAGATTTGAGACACTTGTCTGTTTAATTTGCAAGGGGAGATTTCAAGCACTTTGAGGCCATTGGTGGAAAAGGAAATATCTTCGTATAAAAACTAGACAGAATCATTCTCAGGAACTACTTTGTGATATGTGCATTCAACTCCCAGAGTTTAACCTTTCTTTTCATAGATGAGTTTGGAAACAGTCAGTTTGTAAATTCTGCAACTGGATATTTGGACCTCTTTGAGGCTTTCGTTGGAAACGGGATTTCTTCACATAATGCTAGACAGAAGAATTCTCAGTAACTTCTTTTGGGATGTATGTATTCAAATCAGAGAGTTGAACCTTCCTTTAGACAGAGCGGATTGGAAACACTCTTTTTGTGGAATTTGCAAGTGGCAAATTCTAGCAGTATGAGGCCAATGGTACAAAAGGAAATATCTTCGTATAAAAACTAGACAGTATCATTCTCAGAAACTGCTTTGTGATGTGTGTATTAAACTCACAGATTTGAACATTTCTTTGCATAGAGCAGTATGGAAAGACTTAGTTTGTGCAGTGTGCAAGTGGATATTTGGAACTCTTTGAGGCCTTGGTTGGAAACGGGATTTCTTCTTATAATTCTTGACAAAAGAATTCTCAGTAGCTTCTTTGTGTGTGTGTATTCAACTCACAGAGTTGAACCTTCCTTTAGACAGAGCAGATTGGAAACACTCTTTCTGTGGAATTTGCAAGTGGAGAATTCTAGCGCTTTGACGCCAATGGTAGAAAGGAAATATCTTCGTATAAAAACTAGACAGTATCATTCTCAGCAAGCTACTTTGTGATGTGTGCGTTCAACTCACAGAGTTTAACCTTTCTTTTCATAGAGCAGTTTGTAAACCCTCTGTTTGTGAAGTCTGCAAGTGGATATTTAAACGTCTTTGAGGCCTTCGTTGGAAACGGGATTTTTTCATATAAACCAGGACAGAAGAATTCTCAGAAACTTCTTGATTGTTATGTGTGCATTCAACTCACAGAGTTGAACCTTACTTTGGAAAGAGCAGTTTTCTAACACTCTTTTTGTAAAAGTTCCAAGTGAATACTTTGAGTGCTTTGAAGCCTACGGTTGACAACGAAATATCTTCATGTAAAAACTACAAAGAATCATTCGCAGAAACCACGTTGTGATCTCTGCATTCAACTCACAGAGTTCAACCTTTCTTCCTATAGAGCAGTTATGAAACAGTCTCTTTGTAGAATTTGCAAGGGTGTATTTAGAGGGCATTGAAGCCTACGGTAGAAAAGGAAATATCTTACCATAAAATCTAGTCAGAAGCATTCTCAGAAACTGAGTTGTGATGTTTGCATTCAACTCACAGAGTTCAACATTCCTTTTAATGGAGCGGTTTTGAAACACTCTTTTTGCAGAATCTGCAAGTGGATATTTGGACCTCTTTGAGGCCTTCGTTGGAAACGGGATTTCTTCATGTAATGCCAGACAGAAGAATTCTCAGTGAATTCTTTCTGTGTGTGTGTATTCAACTCACAGAGTTGAACGTTCCTTTAGACAGAGTAGATTGGAAACACTCTTTTTGTGGAATTTTCAGGTGGAGGTATCAAGCGCTTTGAGGCCAATGATAGAAAAGGAAATACCTTCGTATAATAATTAGACGGAATCATTCTCAGAAACTGCTTTGCAATGTGTGCGTTCAACTCACAGTGTTTAACCTTTCTTTTCATACAGTTGTTTCGAAACACTCTTTTTGCAGAATCTGCAAGTGGATATTTGGACCTCTTTGAAGTCTTCGTTGGAAATGGGATTTCTTCATATAATGCTAGACAGAAGACTTCTCAGTAACTGCTTTTTCTGGTGTGTATTCAACTCTCAGAGTTGAACTTTCCTGTAGAATCAGCAGAGTTGAAACTCCCTTTTTGTGGAATTTGCAAGTGGAGATTTCAAAGCTTTGAGGCCAATGGTAGAAAAGGAAATATCTTCGTATGCAAACTAGACAGAATCATTCTCAGAAACTACTTTGGTACGTGTGTGTTCAACTCACAGTGTTTAACCTTTCTTTTCATAGAGCAGTTTGGAAACACTCAGTTTGTAAAGTCAGCAACTGGATATTTGGATGTATTTGAGGCCTTCGTTGGAAACGGGATTTCTTCATATAATGCTAGACAGAAGAATTCTCAGTAACTTCTTTGGGTTGTGGGTATTCAAGTCACAGAGTTGAAGCTTCCTTTAGGCGGAGCAGATTGGAAACACTTTTTGTGGAATTTTCAGGGGGAGACTTCAAGCGCTTTGAAGTGAATGGTAGGAAAGGAAATATCTTCGTATAAAAACTAGACGGAGTCATTCTCAGAAACTACTTTGTGATGTTTGCGTTCAACTCACAGAGTTTAACGTTTCTTTTCATAGAGCAGTTTGGAAACACTCTTTTTGCAGAATCTGCAAGTGGATATTTGGACCTCTTTGTGGCCTTCGTTGGAAACGGGATTTTTCATATAATGCTAGACAGAAGAATTCTCAGTAACTTCTTTTTGTGGTGTGTATTCAACTCACAGAGTTGAACCTTCCTTTAGACAGAGCAGATTTGAAACTCTCTTTTTGTGGAATTTGCAAGTGGAGATTTCAAGCGCTTTGAGGCCAACGGCAGAAAAGGAAATATCTTCGTAGAAAAAATAGACGGAATCATTCTCAGAAACTGCTTTGGGATGTGTGCATTGAACTCACAGTGTTTAACACTTCTTTTCATAGAGCACTTTGGAAACACTCAGTTTGTAATGTCTGCAGCTGGATATTTGGACCTCTTTGAGGCCTTCGTAGTAAACGGGATTTCTTCGTGTAATGATAGACAATAGAATTCTCAGTGAATTTTTTTCTGTGTGTGTGTATTCAACTCACAGGGTTGAACCTTCCTTTAGACAGTGCAGATTTGAAACACTTGTCTGTGGAATTTGCAAGGGGAGATTTCAAGCACTTTGAGGCCATTGGTGGAAAAGGAAATATCTTCGTATAAAAACTAGACAGAATCATTGTCAGGAACTACTTTGTGATATGTGCATTCAACTCACAGAGTTTAACCTTTCTTTTCATAGATGAGTTTGGAAACAGTCAGTTTGTAAATTCTGCAACTGGATATTTGGACCTCTTTGAGGCTTTCGTTGGAAACGGGATTTCTTCACATAATGCTAGACAGAAGAATTCTCAGTAACTTCTTTTGGGATGTATGTATTCAAATCAGAGAGTTGAACCTTCCTTTAGACAGAGCGGATTGGAAACACTCTTTTTGTGGAATTTGCAAGTGGAAAATTCTAGCAGTATGAGGCCAATGGTACAAAAGGAAATATCTTCGTATAAAAACTAGACAGTATCATTCTCAGAAACTGCTTTGTGATGTGTGTATTAAACTCACAGAGTTGAACATTTCTTTGCATAGAGCAGTTTGGAAAGACTTAGTTTGTGCAGTGTGCAAGTGGATATTTGGAACTCTTTGAGGCCTTCGTTGGAAACGGGATTTCTTCTTATAATTCTTGACAAAAGAATTCTCAGTAGCTTCTTTGTGTGTGTGTATTCAACTCACAGAGTTGAACCTGCCTTTAGGCAGAGCAGATTGGAAACCCTCTTTTTGTGGAATTTGCAAGTGGAGAATTCTAGCGCTTTGACGCCAATGGTAGGAAAGGAAATATCTTCGTATAAAAACTGGACAGTATCATTCTCAGAAACTACTTTGTGATGTGTGCGTTCAACTCACAGAGTTTAACCTTTCTTTTCATAGAGCAGTTTGGAAACACTCTGTTTGTGAAGTCTGCAAGTGGATATTTAAACGTCTTTGAGGCCTTCGTTGGAAACGGGATTTTTTCATATAAACCAGGACAGAAGAATTCTCAGAAACTTCTTGTTTGTTATGTGTGCATTCAACTCACAGAGTTGAACCTTACTTTGGAAAGAGCAGTTTTCTAACACTCTTTTTGTAAAAGTTCCAAGTGAATACTTTGAGTGCTTTGAAGCCTACGGTAGAGAACGAAATATCTTCATGTAAAAACTGAGAAGAATCATTCGCCGAAACCACGTTGTGATCTCTGCATTCAACTCACAGAGTTCAACCTTTCTTCCTATAGAGCAGTTATTAAACAGTCTCTTTGTAGAATTTGCAAGGGTGTATTTAGAGGGCATTGAAGCCTACGGTAGAAAAGGAAATATCTGACCATAAAATCTAGTCAGAAGCATTCTCAGAAACTGAGTTGTGATGTTTGCGTTCAACTCACAGAGTTCAACATTCCTTTTAATAGAGCGGTTTTGAAACACTCTATTTGCAGAATCTGCAAGTGGATATTTGGACCTCTTTGAGGCCTTCGTTGGAAACGGGATTTCTTCATGTAAATGCCAGAGAGAAGAATTCTCAGTGAATTCTTTCTGTGTGTGTGTATTCAACTCACTGAGTTGAACGTTCCTTTAGACAGAGTAGATTGGAAACACTCTTTTTGTGGAATTTTCAGGTGGAGATATCAAGCGCTTTCAGGCCAATGATAGAAACGGAAATACCTTCGTATAATAATTAGACGGAATCATTCTCAGAAACTGCTTTGCAATGTGTGCGTTCAACTCACAGTGTTTAACCTTTCTTTTCATACAGTTGTTTCGAAACACTCTTTTTGCAGAATCTGCAAGTGGATATTTGGACCTCTTTGAAGTCTTCGTTGGAAATGGGATTTCTTCATATAATGCTAGACAGAAGACTTCTCAGTAACTGCTTTTTCTGGTGTGTATTCAACTCTCAGAGTTGAACTTTCCTTTAGAAACAGCAGAGTTGAAACTCTCTTTTTGTGGAATTTGCAAGTGGAGATTTCAGAGCTTTGAGGCCAATGGTAGAAAAGGAAATATCTTCGTATGCAAACTAGACAGAATCATTCTCAGAAACTACTTTGGTACGTGTGTGTTCAACTCACAGTGTTTAACCTTTCTTTTCATAGAGCAGTTTGGAAACACTCAGTTTGTAAAGTCAGCAACTGGATATTTGGATGTATTTGAGGCCTTCGTTGGAAACGGGATTTCTTCATATAATGCTAGACAGAAGAATTCTCAGTAACTTCTTTGGGTTGTGGGTATTCAAGTCACAGAGTTGAAGCTTCCTTTAGGCGGAGCAGATTGGAAACACTTTTTGTGGAATTTTCAGGGGGAGACTTCAAGCGCTTTGAAGTGAATGGTAGGAAAGGAAATATCTTCGTATAAAAACTAGACGGAGTCATTCTCAGAAACTACTTTGTGATGTTTGCGTTCAACTCACAGAGTTTAACGTTTCTTTTCATAGAGCAGTTTGGAAACACTCTTTTTGCAGAATCTGCAAGTGGATATTTGGACCTCTTTGTGGCCTTCGTTGGAAACGGGATTTTTCATATAATGCTAGACAGAAGAATTCTCAGTAACTTCTTTTTGTGGTGTGTATTCAACTCACAGAGTTGAACCTTCCTTTAGACAGAGCAGATTTGAAACTCTCTTTTTGTGGAATTTGCAAGTGGAGATTTCAAGCGCTTTGAGGCCAACGGTAGAAAAGGAAATATCTTCGTAGAAAAAATAGACGGAATCATTCTCAGAAACTGCTTTGGGATGTGTGCATTGAACTCACAGTGTTTAACACTTCTTTTCATAGAGCACTTTGGAAACACTCAGTTTGAAATGTCTGCAGCTGGATATTTGGACCTCTTTGAGGCCTTCGTAGTAAACGGGATTTCTTCGTGTAATGATAGACAATAGAATTCTCAGTGAATTTTTTTCTGTGTGTGTGTATTCAACTCACAGGGTTGAACCTTCCTTTAGACAGTGCAGATTTGAAACACTTGTCTGTGGAATTTGCAAGGGGAGATTTCAAGCACTTTGAGGCCATTGGTGGAAAAGGAAATATCTTCGTATAAAAACTAGACAGAATCATTCTCAGGAACTACTTTGTGATATGTGCATTCAACTCCCAGAGTTTAACCTTTCTTTTCATAGATGAGTTTGGAAACAGTCAGTTTGTAAATTCTGCCACTGGATATTTGGACCTCTTTGAGGCTTTCGTTGGAAACGGGATTTCTTCACATAATGCTAGACAGAAGAATTCTCAGTAACTTCTTTTGGGATGTATGTATTCAAATCAGAGAGTTGAACCTTCCTTTAGACAGAGCGGATTGGAAACACTCTTTTTGTGGAATTTGCAAGTGGAAAATTCTAGCAGTATGAGGCCAATGGTACAAAAGGAAATATCTTCGTATAAAAACTAGACAGTATCATTCTCAGAAACTGCTTTGTGATGTGTGTATTAAACTCACAGATTTGAACATTTCTTTGCATAGAGCAGTATGGAAAGACTTAGTTTGTGCAGTGTGCAAGTGGATATTTGGAACTCTTTGAGGCCTTGGTTGGAAACGGGATTTCTTCTTATAATTCTTGACAAAAGAATTCTCAGTAGCTTCTTTGTGTGTGTGTACTCAACTCACAGAGTTGAACCTTCCTTTAGACAGAGCAGATTGGAAATATTCTTTTTGTGGAATTTGCAAGTGGAAAATTCTAGCAGTATGAGGCCAATGGTACAAAAGGAAATATCTTCGTATAAAAACTAGACAGTATCATTCTCAGAAACAACTTTGTGATGTGTGCGTTCAACTCACAGAGTTTAACCTTTCTTTTCATAGAGCAGTTTGGAAACACTCTGTTTGTGAAGTCTGCAAGTGGATATTTAAACGTCTCTGAGGCCTTCGTTGGAAACGGGATTTTTTCATATAAACCAGGACAGAAGAATTCTCAGAAACTTCTTGATTGTTATGTGTGCATTCAACTCACAGAGTTGAACCTTACTTTGGAAAGAGCAGTTTTCTAACACTCTTTTTGTAAAAGTTCCAAGTGAATACTTTGAGTGCTTTGAAGCCTACGGTTGACAACGAAATATCTTCTTGTAAAAACTACAAAGAATCATTCGCAGAAACCACGTTGTGATCTCTGCATTCAACTCACAGAGTTGAACCTTTCTTCCTATAGAGCAGTTATGAAACAGTCTCTTTGTAGAATTTGCAAGGGTGTATTTAGAGGGCATTGAAGCCTACGGTAGAAAAGGAAATATCTTACCATAAAATCTAGTCAGAAGCATTCTCAGCAACTGAGTTGTGATGTTTCCATTCAACTCACAGAGTTCAACATTCCTTTTAATGGAGCGGTTTTGAAACACTCTTTTTGCAGAATCTGCAAGTGGATATTTGGACCTCTTTGAGGCCTTCGTTGGAAACGGGATTTCTTCATGTAATGCCAGACAGAAGAATTCTCAGTGAATTCTTTCTGTGTGTGTGTATTCAACTCACAGAGTTGAACGTTCCTTTAGACAGAGTAGATTGGAAACACTCTTTTTGTGGAATTTTCAGGTGGAGGTATCAAGCGCTTTGAGGCCAATGATAGAAAAGGAAATACCTTCGTATAATAATTAGACGGAATCATTCTCAGAAACTGCTTTGCAATGTGTGCGTTCAACTCACAGTGTTTAACTTTTCTTTTCATACAGTTGTTTCAAAACACTCTTTTTGCAGAATCTGCAAGTGGATATTTGGACCTCTTTGAAGTCTTCGTTGGAAATGGGATTTCTTCATATAATGCTAGACAGAAGACTTCTCAGTAACTGCTTTTTCTGGTGTGTATTCAACTCTCAGAGTTGAACTTTCCTTTAGAAACAGCAGATTTGAAACTCTCTTTTTGTGGAATTTGCAAGTGGAGATTTCAGAGCTTTGAGGCCAATGGTAGAAAAGGAAATATCTTCGTATGCAAACTAGACAGAATCATTCTCAGAAACTACTTTGGTACGTGTGTGTTCAACTCACAGTGTTTAACCTTTCTTTTCATAGAGCAGTTTGGAAACACTCAGTTTGTAAAGTCAGCAACTGGATATTTGGATGTATTTGAGGCCTTCGTTGGAAACGGGATTTCTTCATATAATGCTAGACAGAAGAATTCTCAGTAACTTCTTTGGGTTGTGGGTATTCAACTCACAGAGTTGAAGCTTCCTTTAGGCGGAGCAGATTGGAAACACTTTTTGTGGAATTTTCAGGGGGAGACTTCAAGCGCTTTGAAGTGAATGGTAGGAAAGGAAATATCTTCGTATAAAAACTAGACGGAGTCATTCTCAGAAACTACTTTGTGATGTTTGCGTTCAACTCACAGAGTTTAACGTTTCTTTTCATAGAGCAGTTTGGAAACACTCTTTTTGCAGAATCTGCAAGTGGATATTTGGACCTCTTTGTGGCCTTCGTTGGAAACGGGATTTTTCATATAATGCTAGACAGAAGAATTCTCAGTAACTTCTTTTTGTGGTGTGTATTCAACTCACAGAGTTGAACCTTCCTTTAGACAGAGCAGATTTGAAACTCTCTTTTTGTGGAATTTGCAAGTGGAGATTTCAAGCGCTTTGAGGCCAACGGCAGAAAAGGAAATATCTTCGTAGAAAAAATAGACGGAATCATTCTCAGAAACTGCTTTGGGATGTGTGCATTGAACTCACAGTGTTTAACACTTCTTTTCATAGAGCACTTTGGAAACACTCAGTTTGTAATGTCTGCAGCTGGATATTTGGACCTCTTTGAGGCCTTCGTAGTAAACGGGATTTCTTCGTGTAATGATAGACAATAGAATTCTCAGTGAATTTTTTTCTGTGTGTGTGTATTCAACTCACAGGGTTGAACCTTCCTTTAGACAGTGCAGATTTGAAACACTTGTCTGTGGAATTTGCAAGGGGAGATTTCAAGCACTTTGAGGCCATTGGTGGAAAAGGAAATATCTTCGTATGAAAACTAGACAGAATCATTCTCAGGAACTACTTTGTGATATGTGCATTCAACTCACAGAGTTTAACCTTTCTTTTCATAGATGAGTTTGGAAACAGTCAGTTTGTAAATTCTGCAACTGGATATTTGGACCTCTTTGAGGCTTTCGTTGGAAACGGGATTTCTTCACATAATGCTAGACAGAAGAATTCTCAGTAACTTCTTTTGGGATGTATGTATTCAAATCAGAGAGTTGAACCTTCCTTTAGACAGAGCGGATTGGAAACACTCTTTTTGTGGAATTTGCAAGTGGAAAATTCTAGCAGTATGAGGCCAATGGTACAAAAGGAAATATCTTCGTATAAAAACTAGACAGTATCATTCTCAGAAACTGCTTTGTGATGTGTGTATTAAACTCACAGAGTTGAACATTTCTTTGCATAGAGCAGTATGGAAAGACTTAGTTTGTGCAGTGTGCAAGTGGATATTTGGAACTCTTTGAGGCCTTGGTTGGAAAGGGGATTTCTTCTTATAATTCTTGACAAAAGAATTCTCAGTAGCTTCTTTGTGTGTGTGTATTCAACTCACAGAGTTGAACCTTCCTTTAGACAGAGCAGATTGGAAACACTCTTTTTGTGGAATTTGCAAGTGGAGAATTCTAGCGCTTTGACGCCAATGGTAGAAAGGAAATATCTTCGTATAAAAACTAGACAGTATCATTCTCAGAAGCTACTTTGTGATGTGTGCGTTCAACTCACAGAGTTTAACCTTTCTTTTCATAGAGCAGTTTGGAATCCCTCTGTTTGTGAAGTCTGCAAGTGGATATTTAAACGTCTTTGAGGCCTTCGTTGGAAACGGGATTTCTTCATATAAACCAGGACAGAAGAATTCTCAGAAACTTCTTGATTGTTATGTGTGCATTCAACTCACAGAGTTGAACCTTACTTTGGAAAGAGCAGTTTTGTAACACTCTTTTTGTAAAAGTTCCAAGTGAATACTTTGAGTGCTTTGAAGCCTACGGTTGACAACGAAATATCTTCATGTAAAAACTACAAAGAATCATTCGCAGAAACCACGTTGTGATCTCTGCATTCAACTCACAGAGTTCAACCTTTCTTCCTATAGAGCAGTTATGAAACAGTCTCTTTGTAGAATTTGCAAGGGTGTATTTAGAGGGCATTGAAGCCTACGGTAGAAAAGGAAATATCTTACCATAAAATCTAGTCAGAAGCATTCTCAGCAACTGAGTTGTGATGTTTGCATTCAACTCACAGAGTTCAACATTCCTTTTAATGGAGCGGTTTTGAAACACTCTTTTTGCAGAATCTGCAAGTGGATATTTGGACCTCTTTGAGGCCTTCGTTGGAAACGGGATTTCTTCATGTAATGCCAGACAGAAGAATTCTCAGTGAATTCTTTCTGTGTGTGTGTATTCAACTCACAGAGTTGAACGTTCCTTTAGACAGAGTAGATTGGAAACACTCTTTTTGTGGAATTTTCAGGTGGAGGTATCAAGCGCTTTGAGGCCAATGATAGAAAAGGAAATACCTTCGTATAATAATTAGACGGAATCATTCTCAGAAACTGCTTTGCAATGTGTGCGTTCAACTCACAGTGTTTAACCTTTCTTTTCATACAGTTGTTTCGAAACACTCTTTTTGCAGAATCTGCAAGTGGATATTTGGACCTCTTTGAAGTCTTCGTTGGAAATGGGATTTCTTCATATAATGCTAGACAGAAGACTTCTCAGTAACTGCTTTTTCTGGTGTGTATTCAACTCTCAGAGTTGAACTTTCCTTTAGAAACAGCAGATTTGAAACTCTCTTTTTGTGGAATTTGCAAGTGGAGATTTCAGAGCTTTGAGGCCAATGGTAGAAAAGGAAATATCTTCGTATGCAAACTAGACAGAATCATTCTCAGAAACTACTTTGGTACGTGTGTGTTCAACTCACAGTGTTTAACCTTTCTTTTCATAGAGCAGTTTGGAAACACTCAGTTTGTAAAGTCAGCAACTGGATATTTGGATGTATTTGAGGCCTTCGTTGGAAACGGGATTTCTTCATATAATGCTAGACAGAAGAATTCTCAGTAACTTCTTTGGGTTGTGGGTATTCAAGTCACAGAGTTGAAGCTTCCTTTAGGCGGAGCAGATTGGAAACACTTTTTGTGGAATTTTCAGGGGGAGACTTCAAGCGCTTTGAAGTGAATGGTAGGAAAGGAAATATCTTCGTATAAAAACTAGACGGAAGTCATTCTCAGAAACTACTTTGTGATGTTTGCGTTCAACTCACAGTAGTTTAACGTTTCTTTTCATAGAGCAGTTTGGAAACACTCTTTTTGCAGAATCTGCAAGTGGATATTTAGACCTCTTTGTGGCCTTCGTTGGAAACGGGATTTTTCATATAATGCTAGACAGAAGAATTCTCAGTAACTTCTTTTTGTGGTGTGTATTCAACTCACAGAGTTGAACCTTCCTTTAGACAGAGCAGATTTGAAACTCTCTTTTTGTGGAATTTGCAAGTGGAGATTTCAAGCGCTTTGAGGCCAACGGTAGAAAAGGAAATATCTTCGTAGAAAAAATAGACGGAATCATTCTCAGAAACTGCTTTGGGATGTGTGCATTGAACTCACAGTGTTTAACACTTCTTTTCATAGAGCACTTTGGAAACACTCAGTTTGTAATGTCTGCAGCTGGATATTTGGACCTCTTTGAGGCCTTCGTAGTAAACGGGATTTCTTCGTGTAATGATAGACAATAGAATTCTCAGTGAATTTGTTTCTGTGTGTGTGTATTCAACTCACAGGGTTGAACCTTCCTTTAGACAGTGCAGATTTGAAACACTTGTCTGTGGAATTTGCAAGGGGAGATTTCAAGCACTTTGAGGCCATTGGTGGAAAAGGAAATATCTTCGTATAAAAACTAGACAGAATCATTCTCAGGAACTACTTTGTGATATGTGCATTCAACTCACAGAGTTTAACCTTTCTTTTCATAGATGAGTTTGGAAACAGTCAGTTTGTAAATTCTGCAACTGGATATTTGGACCTCTTTGAGGCTTTCGTTGGAAACGGGATTTCTTCACATAATGCTAGACAGAAGAATTCTCAGTAACTTCTTTTGGGATGTATGTATTCAAATCAGAGAGTTGAACCTTCCTTTAGACAGAGCGGATTGGAAACACTCTTTTTGTGGAATTTGCAAGTGGAAAATTCTAGCAGTATGAGGCCAATGGTACAAAAGGAAATATCTTCGTATAAAAACTAGACAGTATCATTCTCAGAAACTGCTTTGTGATGTGTGTATTAAACTCACAGAGTTGAACATTTCTTTGCATAGAGCAGTTTGGAAAGACTTAGTTTGTGCAGTGTGCAAGTGGATATTTGGAACTCTTTGAGGCCTTCGTTGGAAACGGGATTTCTTCTTATAATTCTTGACAAAAGAATTCTCAGTAGCTTCTTTGTGTGTGTGTATTCAACTCACAGAGTTGAACCTTCCTTTAGACAGAGCAGATTGGAAACACTCTTTTTGTGGAATTTGCAAGTGGAGAATTCTAGCGCTTTGACGCCAATGGTAGAAAGGAAATATCTTCGTATAAAAACTAGACAGTATCATTCTCAGAAGCTACTTTGTGATGTGTGCGTTCAACTCACAGAGTTTAACCTTTCTTTTCATAGAGCAGTTTGGAAACCCTCTGTTTGTGAAGTCTGCAAGTGGATATTTAAACGTCTTTGAGTCCTTCGTTGGAAACGGGATTTTTTCATATAAACCAGGACAGAAGAATTCTCAGAAACTTCTTGATTGTTATGTGTGCATTCAACTCACAGAGTTGAACCTTACTTTGGAAAGAGCAGTTTTCTAACACTCTTTTTGTAAAAGTTCCAAGTGAATACTTTGAGTGCTTTGAAGCCTACGGTTGACAACGAAATATCTTCATGTAAAAACTACAAAGAATCATTCGCCGAAACCACGTTGTGATCTCTGCATTCAACTCACAGAGTTCAACCTTTCTTCCTATAGAGCAGTTATTAAACAGTCTCTTTGTAGAATTTGCAAGGGTGTATTTAGAGGGCATTGAAGCCTACGGTAGAAAAGGAAATATCTTACCATAAAATCTAGTCAGAAGCATTCTCAGAAACTGAGTTGTGATGTTTGCATTCAACTCACAGAGTTCAACATTCCTTTTAATGGAGCGGTTTTGAAACACTCTTTTTGCAGAATCTGCAAGTGGATATTTGGACCTCTTTGAGGCCTTCGTTGGAAACGGGATTTCTTCATGTAATGCCAGACAGAAGAATTCTCAGTGAATTCTTTCTGTGTGTGTGTATTCAACTCACAGAGTTGAACGTTCCTTTAGACAGAGTAGATTGGAAACACTCTTTTTGTGGAATTTTCAGGTGGAGGTATCAAGCGCTTTGAGGCCAATGATAGAAAAGGAAATACCTTCGTATAATAATTAGACGGAATCATTCTCAGAAACCGCTTTGCAATGTGTGCGTTCAACTCACAGTGTTTAACCTTTCTTTTCATACAGTTGTTTCGAAACACTCTTTTTGCAGAATCTGCAAGTGGATATTTGGACCTCTTTGAAGTCTTCGTTGGAAATGGGATTTCTTCATATAATGCTAGACAGAAGACTTCTCAGTAACTGCTTTTTCTGGTGTGTATTCAACTCTCAGAGTTGAACTTTCCTTTAGAAACAGCAGATTTGAAACTCTCTTTTTGTGGAATTTGCAAGTGGAGATTTCAGAGCTTTGAGGCCAATGGTAGAAAAGGAAATATCTTCGTATGCAAACTAGACAGAATCATTCTCAGAAACTACTTTGGTACGTGTGTGTTCAACTCACAGTGTTTAACCTTTCTTTTCATAGAGCAGTTTGGAAACACTCAGTTTGTAAAGTCAGCAACTGGATATTTGGATGTATTTGAGGCCTTCGTTGGAAACGGGATTTCTTCATATAATGCTAGACAGAAGAATTCTCAGTAACTTCTTTGGGTTGTGGGTATTCAAGTCACAGAGTTGAAGCTTCCTTTAGGCGGAGCAGATTGGAAACACTTTTTGTGGAATTTTCAGGGGGAGACTTCAAGCGCTTTGAAGTGAATGGTAGGAAAGGAAATATCTTCGTATAAAAACTAGACGGAGTCATTCTCAGAAACTACTTTGTGATGTTTGCGTTCAACTCACAGAGTTTAACGTTTCTTTTCATAGAGCAGTTTGGAAACACTCTTTTTGCAGAATCTGCAAGTGGATATTTGGACCTCTTTGTGGCCTTCGTTGGAAACGGGATTTTTCATATAATGCTAGACAGAAGAATTCTCAGTAACTTCTTTTTGTGGTGTGTATTCAACTCACAGAGTTGAACCTTCCTTTAGACAGAGCAGATTTGAAACTCTCTTTTTGTGGAATTTGCAAGTGGAGATTTCAAGCGCTTTGAGGCCAACGGCAGAAAAGGAAATATCTTCGTAGAAAAAATAGACGGAATCATTCTCAGAAACTGCTTTGGGATGTGTGCATTGAACTCACAGTGTTTAACACTTCTTTTCATAGAGCACTTTGGAAACACTCAGTTTGTAATGTCTGCAGCTGGATATTTGGACCTCTTTGAGGCCTTCGTAGTAAACGGGATTTCTTCGTGTAATGATAGACAATAGAATTCTCAGTGAATTTTTTTCTGTGTGTGTGTATTCAACTCACAGGGTTGTACCTTCCTTTAGACAGTGCAGATTTGAAACACTTGTCTGTGGAATTTGCAAGGGGAGATTTCAAGCACTTTGAGGCCATTGGTGGAAAAGGAAATATCTTCATATAAAAACTAGACAGAATCATTCTCAGGAACTACTTTGTGATATGTGCATTCAACTCCCAGAGTTTAACCTTTCTTTTCATAGATGAGTTTGGAAACAGTCAGTTTGTAAATTCTGCAACTGGATATTTGGACCTCTTTGAGGCTTTCAATGGAAACGGGATTTCTTCACATAATGCTAGACAGAAGAATTCTCAGTAACTTCTTTTGGGATGTATGTATTCAAATCAGAGAGTTGAACCTTCCTTTAGACAGAGCGGATTGGAAACACTCTTTTTGTGGAATTTGCAAGTGGAAAATTCTAGCAGTATGAGGCCAATGGTACAAAAGGAAATATCTTCGTATAAAAACTAGACAGTATCATTCTCAGAAACTGCTTTGTGATGTGTGTATTAAACTCACAGAGTTGAACATTTCTTTGCATAGAGCAGTTTGGAAAGACTTAGTTTGTGCAGTGTGCAAGTGGATATTTGGAACTCTTTGAGGCCTTCGTTGGAAACGGGATTTCTTCTTATAATTCTTGACAAAAGAATTCTCAGTAGCTTCTTTGTGTGTGTGTATTCAACTCACAGAGTTGAACCTTCCTTGAGACAGAGCAGATTGGAAACACTCTTTTTGTGGAATTTGCAAGTGGAGAATTCTAGCGCTTTGACGCCAATGGTAGAAAGGAAATATCTTCGTATAAAAACTAGACAGTATCATTCTCAGAAGCTACTTTGTGATGTGTGCGTTCAGCTCACAGAGTTTAACCTTTCTTTTCATAGAGCAGTTTGGAAACCCTCTGTTTGTGAAGTCTGCAAGTGGATATTTAAACGTCTTTGAGGCCTTCGTTGGAAACGGGATTTTTTCATATAAACCAGGACAGAAGAATTCTCAGAAACTTCTTGATTGTTATGGGTGCATTCAACTCACAGAGTTGAACCTTACTTTGGAAAGAGCAGTTTTCTAACACTCTTTTTGTAAAAGTTCCAAGTGAATACTTTGAGTGCTTTGAAGCCTACGGTTGACAACGAAATATCTTCATGTAAAAACTACAAAGAATCATTCGCAGAAACCACGTTGTGATCTCTGCAGTCAACTCACAGAGTTCAACCTTTCTTCCTATAGAGCAGTTATGAAACAGTCTCTTTGTAGAATTTGCAAGGGTGTATTTAGAGGGCATTGAAGCCTACGGTAGAAAAGGAAATATCTTACCATAAAATCTAGTCAGAAGCATTCTCAGCAACTGAGTTGTGATGTTTGCATTCAACTCACAGAGTTCAACATTCCTTTTAATGGAGCGGTTTTGAAACACTCTTTTTGCAGAATCTGCAAGTGGATATTTGGACCTCTTTGAGGCCTTCGTTGGAAACGGGATTTCTTCATGTAATGCCAGACAGAAGAATTATCAGTAACTTCTTTTTGTGGTGTGTATTCAACTCACAGAGTTGAACGTTCCTTTAGACAGAGTAGATTGGAAACACTCTTTTTGTGGAATTTTCAGGTGGAGGTATCAAGCGCTTTGAGGCCAATGATAGAAAAGGAAATACCTTCGTATAATAATTAGACGGAATCATTCTCAGAAACCGCTTTGCAATGTGTGCGTTCAACTCACAGTGTTTAACCTTTCTTTTCATACAGTTGTTTCGAAACACTCTTTTTGCAGAATCTGCAAGTGGATATTTGGACCTCTTTGAAGTCTTCGTTGGAAATGGGATTTCTTCATATAATGCTAGACAGAAGACTTCTCAGTAACTGCTTTTTCTGGTGTGTATTCAACTCTCAGAGTTGAACTTTCCTTTAGAAACAGCAGATTTGAAACTCTCTTTTTGTGGAATTTGCAAGTGGAGATTTCAGAGCTTTGAGGCCAATGGTAGAAAAGGAAATATCTTCGTATGCAAACTAGACAGAATCATTCTCAGAAACTACTTTGGTACGTGTGTGTTCAACTCACAGTGTTAACCTTTCTTTTCATAGAGCAGTTTGGAAACACTCAGTTTGTAAAGTCAGCAACTGGATATTTGGATGTATTTGAGGCCTTCGTTGGAAACGGGATTTCTTCATATAATGCTAGACAGAAGAATTCTCAGTAACTTCTTTGGGTTGTGGGTATTCAACTCACAGAGTTGAAGCTTCCTTTAGGCGGAGCAGATTGGAAACACTTTTTGTGGAATTTTCAGGGGGAGACTTCAAGCGCTTTGAAGTGAATGGTAGGAAAGGAAATATCTTCGTATAAAAACTAGACGGAGTCATTCTCAGAAACTACTTTGTGATGTTTGCGTTCAACTCACAGAGTTTAACGTTTCTTTTCATAGAGCAGTTTGGAAACACTCTTTTTGCAGAATCTGCAAGTGGATATTTGGACCTCTTTGTGGCCTTCGTTGGAAACGGGATTTTTCATATAATGCTAGACAGAAGAATTCTCAGTAACTTCTTTTTGTGGTGTGTATTCAACTCACAGAGTTGAACCTTCCTTTAGACAGAGCAGATTTGAAACTCTCTTTTTGTGGAATTTGCAAGTGGAGATTTCAAGCGCTTTGAGGCCAACGGCAGAAAAGGAAATATCTTCGTAGAAAAAATAGACGGAATCATTCTCAGAAACTGCTTTGGGATGTGTGCATTGAACTCACAGTGTTTAACACTTCTTTTCATAGAGCACTTTGGAAACACTCAGTTTGTAATGTCTGCAGCTGGATATTTGGACCTCTTTGAGGCCTTCGTAGTAAACGGGATTTCTTCGTGTAATGATAGACAATAGAATTCTCAGTGAATTTTTTTCTGTGTGTGTGTATTCAACTCACAGGGTTGAACCTTCCTTCAGGCAGTGCAGATTTGAAACACTTTTCTGTGGAATTTGCAAGGGGAGATTTCAAGCACTTTGAGGCCATTGGTGGAAAAGGAAATATCTTTGTATAAAAACTAGACAGAATCATTCTCAGGAACTACTTTGTGATATGTGCATTCAACTCACAGGGTTTAACCTTTCTTTTCATAGATGAGTTTGGAAACAGTCAGTTTGTAAATTCTGCAACTGGATATTAGGACCTCTTGGAGGCTTTGGTTGGAAACGGGATTTCTTCACATAATGCTAGACAGAAGAATTCGCAGTAACATCTTTTGGGATGTATGTATTCAACTCAGAGAGTTGAACCTTCCTTTAGACAGAGCGCATTGGAAACATGCTTTTTGCGGAATTTTCAGGTGGAGATTCCAAGAGCCTTGAGGCCAATGGTAGAAAAGGCTATCTTCCTATAAAAACTAGAGGGAATCATTCTCAGAAACTGCTTTGTGATGTGTGCATTAATCTCACAGGGTTGAACATTTCTTTGCATAGAGCAGTTTGGAAAGACTTAGTTTGTACAGTGTGCAAGTGGATATTTGGAACTCTTTGAGGCCTTCGTTGGAAACGGGATTTCTTCTTATAATTCTTGACAAAAGAATTCTCAGTAGCTTCTTTGTGTGTGTGTACTCAACTCACAGAGTTGAACCTTCCTTTAGACAGAGCAGATTGGAAACACTCTTTTTGTGGAATTTGCAAGTGGAAAATTCTAGCAGTATGAGGCCAATGGTACAAAAGGAAATATCTTCGTATAAAAACTAGACAGTATCATTCTCAGAAGCTACTTTGTGATGTGTGCGTTCAACTCACAGAGTTTAACCTTTCTTTTCATAGAGCAGTTTGGAAACCCTCTTTGTGAAGTCTGCAAGTGGATATTTAAACGTCTTTGAGGCCTTCGTTGGAAACGGGATTTTTTCATATAAACCAGGACAGAAGAATTCTCAGAAACTTCTTGATTGTTATGTGTGCATTCAACTCACAGAGTTGAACCTTACTTTGGAAAGAGCAGTTTTCTAACACTCTTTTTGTAAAAGTTCCAAGTGAATACTTTGAGTGCTTTGAAGCCTACGGTTGACAACGAAATATCTTCATGTAAAAACTACAAAGAATCATTCGCAGAAACCACGTTGTGATCTCTGCATTCAACTCACAGAGTTGAACCTTTCTTCCTATAGAGCAGTTATGAAACAGTCTCTTTGTAGAATTTGCAAGGGTGTATTTAGAGGGCATTGAAGCCTACGGTAGAAAAGGAAATATCTTACCATAAAATCTAGTCAGAAGCATTCTCAGAAACTGAGTTGTGATGTTTGCATTCAACTCACAGAGTTCAACATTCCTTTTAATGGAGCGGTTTTGAAACACTCTTTTTGCAGAATCTGCAAGTGGATATTTGGACCTCTTTGAGGCCTTCGTTGGAAACGGGATTTCTTCATGTAATGCCAGACAGAAGAACTCTCAGTGAATTCTTTCTGTGTGTGTGTATTCAACTCACAGAGTTGAACGTTCCTTTAGACAGAGTAGATTGGAAACACTCTTTTTGTGGAACTTTCAGGTGGAGGTATCAAGCGCTTTGAGGCCAATGATAGAAAAGGAAATACCTTCGTATAATAATTAGACGGAATCATTCTCAGAAACTGCTTTGCAATGTGTGCGTTCAACTCACAGTGTTTAAGCTTTCTTTTCATACAGTTGTTTCGAAACACTCTTTTTGCAGAATCTGCAAGTGGATATTTGGACCTCTTTGAAGTCTTCGTTGGAAATGGGATTTCTTCATATAATGCTAGACAGAAGACTTCTCAGTAACTGCTTTTTCTGGTGTGTATTCAACTCTCAGAGTTGAACTTTCCTTTAGAAACAGCAGATTTGAAACTCTCTTTTTGTGGAATTTGCAAGTGGAGATTTCAAAGCTTTGAGGCCAATGGTAGAAAAGGAAATATCTTCGTATGCAAACTGGACACAATCATTCTCAGAAACTACTTTGGTACGTGTGTGTTCAACTCACAGTGTTTAACCTTTCCTTTCATAGAGCAGTTTGGAAACACTCAGTTTGTAAAGTCAGCAAGTGGATATGTGGATGTATTTGACGCCTTCGTTGGAAACGGGATTTCTTCATATAATGCTAGACAGAAGTATTCTCAGTAACTTCTTTGTGTTGTGGGTATTCAACTCACAGAGTTGAAGCTTCCTTTAGGCGGAGCAGATTGGAAACACTTTTTGTGGAATTTTCAGGGGGAGACTTCAAGCGCTTTGAGGCCAACGGTAGAAAAGGAAATATCTTCGTATAAAAACTAGACGGAGTCATTCTCAGAAACTACTTTGTGATGTTTGCGTTCAACTCACAGAGTTTAACGTTTCTTTTCATAGAGCAGTTTGGAAACACTCTTTTTGCAGAATCTGCAAGTGGATATTTGGACCTCTTTGTGGCCTTCGTTGGAAACGGGATTTTTCATATAATGCTAGACAGAAGAATTCTCAGTAACTTCTTTTTGTGGTGTGTATTCAACTCACAGAGTTGAACCTTCCTTTAGACAGAGCAGATTTGAAACTCTCTTTTTGTGGAATTTGCAAGTGGAGATTTCAAGCGCTTTGAGGCCAACGGCAGAAAAGGAAATATCTTCGTAGAAAAAATAGACGGAATCATTCTCAGAAACTGCTTTGGGATGTGTGCATTGAACTCACAGTGTTTAACACTTCTTTTCATAGAGCACTTTGGAAACACTCAGGTTGTAATGTCTGCAGCTGGATATTTGGACCTCTTTGAGGCCTTCGTAGTAAACGGGATTTCTTCGTGTAATGATAGACAATAGAATTCTCAGTCAATTTTTTCCTGTGTGTGTGTATTCAACTCACAGGGTTGAACCTTCCTTTAGACAGTGCAGATTTGAAACACTTGTCTGTGGAATTTGCAAGGGGAGATTTCAAGCACTTTGAGGCCATTGGTGGAAAAGGAAATATCTTCGTATAAAAACTAGACAGAATCATTCTCAGGAAACTACTTTGTGATATGTGCATTCAACTCACAGAGTTTAACCTTTCTTTTCATAGATGAGTTTGGAAACAGTCAGTTTGTAAATTCTGCAACTGGATATTTGGACCTCTTTGAGGCTTTCGTTGGAAACGGGATTTCTTCACATAATGCTAGACAGAAGAATTCTCAGGAACTTCTTTTGGGATGTATGTATTCAAATCAGAGAGTTGAACCTTCCTTTAGACAGAGCGGATTGGAAACACTCTTTTTGTGGAATTTGCAAGTGGAAAATTCTAGCAGTATGAGGCCAATGGTACAAAAGGAAATATCTTCGTATAAAAACTAGACAGTATCATTCTCAGAAACTGCTTTGTGATGTGTGTATTAAACTCACAGAGTTGAACATTTCTTTGCATAGAGCAGTTTGGAAAGACTTAGTTTGTGCAGTGTGCAAGTGGATATTTGGAACTCTTTGAGGCCTTCGTTGGAAACGGGATTTCTTCTTATAATTCTTGACAAAAGAATTCTCAGTAGCTTCTTTGTGTGTGTGTATTCAACTCACAGAGTTGAACCTTCCTTTAGACAGAGCAGATTGGAAACACTCTTTTTGTGGAATTTGCAAGTGGAGAATTCTAGCGCTTTGACGCCAATGGTAGAAAGGAAATATCTTCGTATAAAAACTAGACAGTATCATTCTCAGAAGCTACTTTGTGATGTGTGCGTTCAACTCACAGAGTTTAACCTTTCTTTTCATAGAGCGGTTTGGAAACCCTCTGTTTGTGAAGTCTGCAAGTGGATATTTAAACGTCTTTGAGGCCTTCGTTGGAAACGGGATTTTTTCATATAAACCAGGACAGAAGAATTCTCAGAAACTTCTTGATTGTTATGTGTGCATTCAACTCACAGAGTTGAACCTTACTTTGGAAAGAGCAGTTTCCTAACACTCGTTTTGTAAAAGTTCCAAGTGAATACTTTGAGTGCTTTGAAGCCTACGGTTGACAACGAAATATCTTCATGTAAAAACTACAAAGAATCATTCGCAGAAACCACGTTGTGATCTCTGCATTCAACTCACAGAGTTGAACCTTTCTTCCTATAGAGCAGTTATGAAACAGTCTCTTTGTAGAATTTGCAAGGGTGTATTTAGAGGGCATTGAAGCCTACGGTAGAAAAGGAAATATCTTACCATAAAATCTAGTCAGAAGCATTCTCAGAAACTGAGTTGTGATGTTTGCATTCAACTCACAGAGTTCAACATTCCTTTTCATAGAGCGGTTTTGAAACACTCTTTTTCCAGAATCTGCAAGTGGATATTTGGACCTCTTTGAGGCCTTCGTTGGAAACGGGATTTCTTCATGTAATCCCAGACAGAAGAATTCTCAGTGAATTCTTTCTGTGTGTGTGTATTCAACTCACAGAGTTGAACGTTCCTTTAGACAGAGTAGATTGGAAACACTCTTTTTGTGGAATTTTCAGGTGGAGGTATCAAGCGCTTTGAGGCCAATGATAGAAAAGGAAATACCTTCGTATAATAATTAGACGGAATCATTCTCAGAAACTGCTTTGCAATGTGTGCGTTCAACTCACAGTGTTTAACCTTTCTTTTCATACAGTTGTTTCGAAACACTCTTTTTGCAGAATCTGCAAGTGGATATTTGGACCTCTTTGAAGTCTTCGTTGGAAATGGGATTTCTTCATATAATGCTAGACAGAAGACTTCTCAGTAACTGCTTTTTCTGGTGTGTATTCAACTCTCAGAGTTGAACTTTCCTTTAGAAACAGCAGAGTTGAAACTCTCTTTTTGTGGAATTTGCAAGTGGAGATTTCAAAGCTTTGAGGCCAATGGTAGAAAAGGAAATATCTTCGTATGCAAACTAGACAGAATCATTCTCAGAAACTACTTTGGTACGTGTGTGTTCAACTCACAGTGTTTAACCTTTCTTTTCATAGAGCAGTTTGGAAACACTCAGTTTGTAAAGTCAGCAACTGGATATTTGGATGTATTTGAGGCCTTCGTTGGAAACGGGATTTCTTCATATAGTGCTAGACAGAAGAATTCTCAGTAACTTCTTTGGGTTGTGGGTATTCAACTCACAGAGTTGAAGCTTCCTTTAGGCGGAGCAGATTGGAAACACTTTTTGTGGAATTTTCAGGGGGAGACTTCAAGCGCTTTGAAGTGAATGGTAGAAAAGGAAATATCTTCGTATAAAAACTAGACGGAGTCATTCTCAGAAACTACTTTGTGATGTTTGCGTTCAACTCACAGAGTTTAACGTTTCTTTTCATAGAGCAGTTTGGAAACACTCTTTTTGCAGAATCTGCAAGTGGATATTTGGACCTCTTTGTGGCCTTCGTTGGAAACGGGATTTTTCATATAATGCTAGACAGAAGAATTCTCAGTAACTTCTTTTTGTGGTGTGTATTCAACTCACAGAGTTGAACCTTCCTTTAGACAGAGCAGATTTGAAACTCTCTTTTGTGGAATTTGCAAGTGGAGATTTCAAGCGCTTTGAGGCCAACGGCAGAAAAGGAAATATCTTCGTAGAAAAAATAGACGGAATCATTCTCAGCAAACTGCTTTGGGATGTGTGCATTGAACTCACAGTGTTTAACACTTCTTTTCATAGAGCACTTTGGAAACACTCAGGTTGTAATGTCTGCAGCTGGATATTTGGACCTCTTTGAGGCCTTCGTAGTAAACGGGATTTCTTCGTGTAATGATAGACAATAGAATTCTCAGTGAATTTTTTTCTGTGTGTGTGTATTCAACTCACAGGGTTGAACCTTCCTTTAGACAGTGCAGATTTGAGACACTTGTCTGTGGAATTTGCAAGGGGAGATTTCAAGCACTTTGAGGCCATTGGTGGAAAAGGAAATATCTTCGTATGAAAACTAGACAGAATCATTCTCAGGAACTACTTTGTGATATGTGCATTCAACTCACAGAGTTTAACCTTTCTTTTCATAGATGAGTTTGGAAACAGTCAGTTTGTAAATTCTGCAACTGGATATTTGGACCTCTTTGAGGCTTTCGTTGGAAACGGGATTTCTTCACATAATGCTAGACAGAAGAATTCTCAGTAACTTCTTTTGGGATGTATGTATTCAAATCAGAGAGTTGAACCTTCCTTTAGACAGAGCGGATTGGAAACACTCTTTTTGTGGAATTTGCAAGTGGAAAATTCTAGCAGTATGAGGCCAATGGTACAAAAGGAAATATCTTCGTATAAAAACTAGACAGTATCATTCTCAGAAACTGCTTTGTGATGTGTGTATTAAACTCACAGAGTTGAACATTTCTTTGCATAGAGCAGTATGGAAAGACTTAGTTTGTGCAGTGTGCAAGTGGATATTTGGAACTCTTTGAGGCCTTGGTTGGAAACGGGATTTCTTCTTATAATTCTTGACAAAAGAATTCTCAGTAGCTTCTTTGTGTGTGTGTATTCAACTCACAGAGTTGAACCTTCCTTTAGACAGAGCAGATTGGAAACACTCTTTTTGTGGAATTTGCAAGTGGAGAATTCTAGCGCTTTGACGCCAATGGTAGAAAGGAAATATGCTTCGTATAAAAACTAGACAGTAATCATTCTCAGAAGCTACTTTGTGATGTGTGCGTTCAACTCACAGAGTTTAACCTTTCTTTTCATAGAGCAGTTTGGAAACCCTCTGTTTGTGAAGTCTGCAAGTGGATATTTAAACGTCTTTGAGGCCTTCGTTGGAAACGGGATTTTTTCATATAAACCAGGACAGAAGAATTCTCAGAAACTTCTTGATTGTTATGTGTGCATTCAACTCACAGAGTTGAACCTTACTTTGGAAAGAGCAGTTTTCTAACACTCTTTTTGTAAAAGTTCCAAGTGAATACTTTGAGTGCTTTGAAGCCTACGGTTGACAACGAAATATCTTCATGTAAAAACTACAAAGAATCATTCGCAGAAACCACGTTGTGATCTCTGCATTCAACTCACAGAGTTGAACCTTTCTTCCTATAGAGCAGTTATGAAACAGTCTCTTTGTAGAATTTGCAAGGGTGTATTTAGAGGGCATTGAAGCCTACGGTAGAAAAGGAAATATCTTACCATAAAATCTAGTCAGAAGCATTCTCAGCAACTGAGTTGTGATGTTTGCATTCAACTCACAGAGTTCAACATTCCTTTTAATGGAGCGGTTTTGAAACACTCTTTTTGCAGAATCTGCAAGTGGATATTTGGACCTCTTTGAGGCCTTCGTTGGAAACGGGATTTCTTCATGTAATGCCAGACAGAAGAATTCTCAGTGAATTCTTTCTGTGTGTGTGTATTCAACTCACAGAGTTGAACGTTCCTTTAGACAGAGTAGATTGGAAACACTCTTTTTGTGGAATTTTCAGGTGGAGGTATCAAGCGCTTTGAGGCCAATGATAGAAAAGGAAATACCTTCGTATAATAATTAGACGGAATCATTCTCAGAAACTGCTTTGCAATGTGTGCGTTCAACTCACAGTGTTTAACCTTTCTTTTCATACAGTTGTTTCGAAACACTCTTTTTGCAGAATCTGCAAGTGGATATTTGGACCTCTTTGAAGTCTTCGTTGGAAATGGGATTTCTTCATATAATGCTAGACAGAAGACTTCTCAGTAACTGCTTTTTCTGGTGTGTATTCAACTCTCAGAGTTGAACTTTCCTTTAGAAACAGCAGATTTGAAACTCTCTTTTTGTGGAATTTGCAAGTGGAGATTTCAGAGCTTTGAGGCCAATGGTAGAAAAGGAAATATCTTCGTATGCAAACTAGACAGAATCATTCTCAGAAACTACTTTGGTACGTGTGTGTTCAACTCACAGTGTTTAACCTTTCTTTTCATAGAGCAGTTTGGAAACACTCAGTTTGTAAAGTCAGCAACTGGATATTTGGATGTATTTGAGGCCTTCGTTGGAAACGGGATTTCTTCATATAATGCTAGACAGAAGAATTCTCAGTAACTTCTTTGTGTTGTGGGTATTCAACTCACAGAGTTGAAGCTTCCTTTAGGCGGAGCAGATTGGAAACACTTTTTGTGGAATTTTCAGGGGGAGACTTCAAGCGCTTTGAGGCCAACGGTAGAAAAGGAAATATCTTCGTATAAAAACTAGACGGAGTCATTCTCAGAAACTACTTTGTGATGTTTGCGTTCAACTCACAGAGATTAACGTTTCTTTTCATAGGGCAGTTTGGAGACACTCTTTTTGCAGAATCTGCAAGTGGATATTTGGACCTCTTTGTGGCCTTCGTTGGAAACGGGATTTTTCATATAATGCTAGACAGAGCAATTCTCAGTAACTTCTTTTTGTGGTGTGTATTCAACTCACAGAGTTGAACCTTCCTTTAGACAGAGCAGATTTGAAACTCTCTTTTTGTGGAATTTGCAAGTGGAGATTTCAAGCGCTTTGAGGCCAACGGCAGAAAAGGAAATATCTTCGTAGAAAAAATAGACGGAATCATTCTCAGAAACTGCTTTGGGATGTGTGCATTGAATTCACAGTGTTTAACACTTCTTTTCATAGAGCACTTTGGAAACACTCAGTTTGTAATGTCTGCAGCTGGATATTTGGACCTCTTTGAGGCCTTCGTAGTAAACGGGATTTCTTCGTGTGATGATAGACAATAGAGTAATTCTCAGTGAATTTTTTTCTGTGTGTGTGTATTCAACTCACAGGGTTGAACCTTCCTTTAGACAGTGTAGATTTGAAACACTTGTCTGTGGAATTTGCAAGGGGAGATTTCAAGCACTTTGAGGCCATTGGTGGAAAAGGAAATATCTTCGTATAAAAACTAGACAGAATCATTCTCAGGAACTACTTTGTGATATGTGCATTCAACTCCCAGAGTTTAACCTTTCTTTTCATAGATGAGTTTGGAAACAGTCAGTTTGTAAATTCTGCAACTGGATATTTGGACCTCTTTGAGGCTTTCGTTGGAAACGGGATTTCTTCACATAATGCTAGACAGAAGAATTCTCAGTAACTTCTTTTGGGATGTATGTATTCAAATCAGAGAGTTGAACCTTCCTTTAGACAGAGCGGATTGGAAACACTCTTTTTGTGGAATTTGCAAGTGGAAAATTCTAGCAGTATGAGGCCAATGGTACAAAAGGAAATATCTTCGTATAAAAACTAGACAGTATCATTCTCAGAAACTGCTTTGTGATGTGTGTATTAAACTCACAGAGTTGAACATTTCTTTGCATAGAGCAGTTTGGAAAGACTTAGTTTGTGCAGTGTGCAAGTGGATATTTGGAACTCTTTGAGGCCTTCGTTGGAAACGGGATTTCTTCTTATAATTCTTGACAAAAGAATTCTCAGTAGCTTCTTTGTGTGTGTGTACTCAACTCACAGAGTTGAACCTTCCTTTAGACAGAGCAGATTGGAAACACTCTTTTTGTGGAATTTGCAAGTGGAAAATTCTAGCAGTATGAGGCCAATGGTACAAAAGGAAATATCTTCGTATAAAAACTAGACAGTATCATTCTCAGAAACTACTTTGTGAGGTGTGCGTTCAACTCACAGTGTTTACCCTTTCTTTTCATAGAGCAGTTTGGAAACACTCTGTTTGTGAAGTCTGCAAGTGGATATTTAAACGTCTTTGAGGCCTTCGTTGGAAACGGGATTTCTTCATATAAACCAGGACAGAAGAATTCTCAGAAACTTCTTGTTTGTTATGTGTGCATTCAACTCACAGAGTTGAACCTTACTTTGGAAAGAGCAGTTTTCTAACACTCTTTTTGTAAAAGTTCCAAGTGAATACTTTGAGTGCTTTGAAGCCTACGGTAGACAACGAAATATCTTCATGTAAAAACTACAAAGAATCATTCGCCGAAACCACGTTGTGATCTCTGCATTCAACTCACAGAGTTCAACCTTTCTTCCTATAGAGCAGTTATTAAACAGTCTCTTTGTAGAATTTGCAAGGGTGTATTTAGAGGGCATTGAAGCCTACGGTAGAAAAGGAAATATCTGACCATAAAATCTAGTCAGAAGCATTCTCAGAAACTGAGTTGTGATGTTTGCATTCAACTCACAGAGTTCAACATTCCTTTTAATGGAGCGGTTTTGAAACACTCTTTTTGCAGAATCTGCAAGTGGATATTTGGACCTCTTTGAGGCCTTCGTTGGAAACGGGATTTCTTCATGTAATGCCAGACAGAAGAATTCTCAGTGAATTCTTTCTGTGTGTGTGTATTCAACTCACAGAGTTGAACGTTCCTTTAGACAGAGTAGATTGGAAACACTCTTTTTGTGGAATTTTCAGGTGGAGGTATCAAGCGCTTTGAGGCCAATGATAGAAAAGGAAATACCTTCGTATAATAATTAGACGGAATCATTCTCAGAAAATGCTTTGCAATGGGTGCGTTCAACTCACAGTGTTTAACCTTTCTTTTCATACAGTTGTTTCGAAACACTCTTTTTGCAGAATCTGCAAGTGGATATTTGGACCTGTTTGAAGTCTTCTTTGGAAATGGGATTTCTTCATATAATGCTAGACAGAAGACTTCTCAGTAACTGCTTTTTCTGGTGTGTATTCAACTCTCAGAGTTGAACTTTCCTTTAGAAACAGCAGATTTGAAACTCTCTTTTTGTGGAATTTGCAAGTGGAGATTTCAGAGCTTTGAGGCCAATGGTAGAAAAGGAAATATCTTCGTATGCAAACTAGACAGAATCATTCTCAGAAACTACTTTGGTACGTGTGTGTTCAACTCACAGTGTTTAACCTTTCTTTTCATAGAGCAGTTTGGAAACACTGTTTGTAAAGTCAGCAACTGGATATTTGGATGTATTTGAGGCCTTCGTTGGAAACGGGATTTCTTCATATAATGCTAGACAGAAGAATTCTCAGTAACTTCTTTGGGTTGTGGGTATTCAAGTCACAGAGTTGAAGCTTCCTTTAGGCGGAGCAGATTGGAAACACTTTTTGTGGAATTTTCAGGGGGAGACTTCAAGCGCTTTGAAGTGAATGGTAGGAAAGGAAATATCTTCGTATAAAAACTAGACGGAGTCATTCTCAGAAACTACTTTGTGATGTTTGCGTTCAACTCACAGAGTTTAACGTTTCTTTTCATAGAGCAGTTTGGAAACACTCTTTTTGCAGAATCTGCAAGTGGATATTTGGACCTCTTTGTGGCCTTCGTTGGAAACGGGATTTTTCATATAATGCTAGACAGAAGAATTCTCAGTAACTTCTTTTTGTGGTGTGTATTCAACTCACAGAGTTGAACCTTCCTTTAGACAGAGCAGATTTGAAACTCTCTTTTTGTGGAATTTGCAAGTGGAGATTTCAAGCGCTTTGAGGCCAACGGTAGAAAAGGAAATATCTTCGTAGAAAAAATAGACGGAATAATTCTCAGAAACTGCTTTGGGATGTGTGCATTGAACTCACAGTGTTTAACACTTCTTTTCATAGAGCACTTTGGAAACACTCAGTTTGTAATGTCTGCAGCTGGATATTTGGACCTCTTTGAGGCCTTCGTAGTAAACGGGATTTCTTCGTGTCATGATAGACAATAGAATTCTCAGTGAATTTTTTTCTGTGTGTGTGTATTCAACTCACAGGGTTGAACCTTCCTTTAGACAGTGCAGATTTGAAACACTTGTCTGTGGAATTTGCAAGGGGAGATTTCAAGCACTTTGAGGCCATTGGTGGAAAAGGAAATATCTTCGTATGAAAACTAGACAGAATCATTCTCAGGAACTACTTTGTGATATGTGCATTCAACTCACAGAGTTTAACCTTTCTTTTCATAGATGAGTTTGGAAACAGTCAGTTTGTAAATTCTGCAACTGGATATTTGGACCTCTTTGAGGCTTTCGTTGGAAACGGGATTTCTTCACATAATGCTAGACAAGAATTCTCAGTAACTTCTTTTGGGATGTATGTATTCAAATCAGAGAGTTGAACCTTCCTTTAGACAGAGCGGATTGGAAACACTCTTTTTGTGGAATTTGCAAGTGGAAAATTCTAGCAGTATGAGGCCAATGGTACAAAAGGAAATATCTTCGTATAAAAACTAGACAGTATCATTCTCAGAAACTGCTTTGTGATGTGTGCATTAAACTCACAGAGTTGAACATTTCTTTTTCATAGAGCAGTTTGGAAAGACTTAGTTTGTACAGTCTGCAAGTGGATATTTGGAACTCTTTGAGGCCTTCGTTGGAAACGGGATTTCTTATAATTCTTGACAAAAGAATTCTCAGTAGCTTCTTTGTGTGTGTGTATTCAACTCACAGAGTTGAACCTTCCTTTAGACAGAGCAGATTGGAAACACTCTTTTTGTGGAATTTGCAAGTGGAGAATTCTAGCGCTTTGACGCCAATGGTAGAAAGGAAATATCTTCGTATAAAAACTAGACAGTATCATTCTCAGAAGCTACTTTGTGATGTGTGCGTTCAACTCACAGAGTTTAACCTTTCTTTTCATAGAGCAGTTTGGAAACCCTCTGTTTGTGAAGTCTGCAAGTGGATATTTAAACGTCTTTGAGGCCTTCGTTGGAAACGGGATTTTTTCATATAAACCAGGACAGAAGAATTCTCAGAAACTTCTTGATTGTTATGTGTGCATTCAACTCACAGAGTTGAACCTTACTTTGGAAAGAGCAGTTTTCTAACACTCTTTTTGTAAAAGTTCCAAGTGAATACTTTGAGTGCTTTGAAGCCTACGGTTGACAACGAAATATCTTCATGTAAAAACTACAAAGAATCATTCGCAGAAACCACGTTGTGATCTCTGCATTCAACTCACAGAGTTCAACCTTTCTTCCTATAGAGCAGTTATGAAACAGTCTCTTTGTAGAATTTGCAAGGGTGTATTTAGAGGGCATTGAAGCCTACGGTAGAAAAGGAAATATCTTACCATAAAATCTAGTCAGAAGCATTCTCAGAAACTGAGTTGTGATGTTTGCATTCAACTCACAGAGTTCAACATTCCTTTTAATGGAGCGGTTTTGAAACACTCTTTTTGCAGAATCTGCAAGTGGATATTTGGACCTCTTTGAGGCCTTCGTTGGAAACGGGATTTCTTCATGTAATGCCAGACAGAAGAATTCTCAGTGAATTCTTTCTGTGTGTGTGTATTCAACTCACAGAGTTGAACGTTCCTTTAGACAGAGTAGATTGGAAACACTCTTTTTGTGGAATTTTCAGGTGGAGGTATCAAGCGCTTTGAGGCCAATGATAGAAAAGGAAATACCTTCGTATAATAATTAGACGGAATCATTCTCAGAAACCGCTTTGCAATGTGTGCGTTCAACTCACAGTGTTTAACCTTTCTTTTCATACAGTTGTTTCGAAACACTCTTTTTGCAGAATCTGCAAGTGGATATTTGGACCTCTTTGAAGTCTTCGTTGGAAATGGGATTTCTTCATATAATGCTAGACAGAAGACTTCTCAGTAACTGCTTTTTCTGGTGTGTATTCAACTCTCAGAGTTGAACTTTCCTTTAGAAACAGCAGATTTGAAACTCTCTTTTTGTGGAATTTGCAAGTGGAGATTTCAGAGCTTTGAGGCCAATGGTAGAAAAGGAAATATCTTCGTATGCAAACTAGACAGAATCATTCTCAGAAACTACTTTGGTACGTGTGTGTTCAACTCACAGTGTTTAACCTTTCTTTTCATAGAGCAGTTTGGAAACACTCAGTTTGTAAAGTCAGCAACTGGATATTTGGATGTATTTGAGGCCTTCGTTGGAAACGGGATTTCTTCATATAATGCTAGACAGAAGAATTCTCAGTAACTTCTTTGGGTTGTGGGTATTCAAGTCACAGAGTTGAAGCTTCCTTTAGGCGGAGCAGATTGGAAACACTTTTTGTGGAATTTTCAGGGTGAGACTTCAAGCGCTTTGAATTGAATGGTAGGAAAGGAAATATCTTCGTATAAAAACTAGACGGAGTCATTCTCAGTAAACTACTTTGTGATGTTTGCGTTCAACTCACAGAGTTTAACGTTTCTTTTCATAGAGCAGTTTGGAAACACTCTTTTTGCAGAATCTGCAAGTGGATATTTGGACCTCTTTGTGGCCTTCGTTGGAAACGGGATTTTTCATATAATGCTAGACAGAAGAATTCTCAGTAACTTCTTTTTGTGGTGTGTATTCAACTCACAGAGTTGAACCTTCCTTTAGACAGAGCAGATTTGAAACTCTCTTTTTGTGGAATTTGCAAGTGGAGATTTCAAGCGCTTTGAGGCCAACGGCAGAAAAGGAAATATCTTCGTAGAAAAAATAGACGGAATCATTCTCAGAAACTGCTTTGGGATGTGTGCATTGAACTCACAGTGTTTAACACTTCTTTTCATAGAGCACTTTGGAAACACTCAGTTTGTAATGTCTGCAGCTGGATATTTGGACCTCTTTGAGGCCTTCGTAGTAAACGGGATTTCTTCGTGTAATGATAGACAATAGAATTCTCAGTGAATTTTTTTCTGTGTGTGTGTATTCAACTCACAGGGTTGAACCTTCCTTTAGACAGTGCAGATTTGAAACACTTGTCTGTGGAATTTGCAAGGGGAGATTTCAAGCACTTTGAGGCCATTGGTGGAAAAGGAAATATGTTCGTATAAAAACTAGACAGAATCATTCTCAGGAACTACTTTGTGATATGTGCATTCAACTCACAGAGTTTAACCTTTCTTTTCATAGATGAGTTTGGAATCAGTCAGTTTGTAAATTCTGCAACTGGATATTTGGACCTCTTTGAGGCTTTCGTTGGAAACGGGATTTCTTCACATAATGCTAGACAGAAGAATTCTCAGTAACTTCTTTTGGGATGTATGTATTCAAATCAGAGAGTTGAACCTTCCTTTAGACAGAGCGGATTGGAAACACTCTTTTTGTGGAATTTGCAAGTGGAAAATTCTAGCAGTATGAGGCCAATGGTACAAAAGGAAATATCTTCGTATAAAAACTAGACAGTATCATTCTCAGAAACTGCTTCGTGATGTGTGTATTAAACTCACAGAGTTGAACATTTCTTTGCATAGAGCAGTTTGGAAAGACTTAGTTTGTGCAGTGTGCAAGTGGATATTTGGAACTCTTTGAGGCCTTCGTTGGAAACGGGATTTCTTCTTATAATTCTTGACAAAAGAATTCTCAGTAGCTTCTTTGTGTGTGTGTATTCAACTCACAGAGTTGAACGTTCCTTGAGACAGAGCAGATTGGAAACACTCTTTTTGTGGAATTTGCAAGTGGAGAATTCTAGCGCTTTGACGCCAATGGTAGAAAGGAAATATCTTCGTATAAAAACTAGACAGTATCATTCTCAGAAACTACTTTGTGATGTGTGCGTTCAACTCACAGAGTTTAACCTTTCTTTTCATAGAGCAGTTTGGAAACACTCTGTTTGTGAAGTCTGCAAGTGGATATTTAAACGTCTTTGAGGCCTTCGTTGGAAACGGGATTTTTTCCTATAAACCAGGACAGAAGAATTCTCAGAAACTTCTTGATTGTTATGTGTGCATTCAACTCACAGAGTTGAACCTTACTTTGGAAAGAGCAGTTTTCTAACACTCTTTTTGTAAAAGTTCCAAGTGAATACTTTGAGTGCTTTGAAGCCTACGGTTGACAACGAAATATCTTCATGTAAAAACTACAAAGAATCATTCGCAGAAACCACGTTGTGATCTCTGCATTCAACTCACAGTGTTGAACCTTTCTTCCTATAGAGCAGTTATGAAACAGTCTCTTTGTAGAATTTGCAAGGGTGTATTTAGAGGGCATTGAAGCCTACGGTAGAAAAGGAAATATCTTACCATAAAATCTAGTCAGAAGCATTCTCAGGAAACTGAGTTGTGATGTTTGCATTCAACTCACAGCGTTCAACATTCCTTTTAATGGAGCGGTTTTGAAACACTCTTTTTGCAGAATCTGCAAGTGGATATTTGGACCTCTTTGAGGTCTTCGTTGGAAACGGGATTTCTTCATGTAATGCCAGACAGAAGAATTCTCAGTGAATTCTTTCTGTGTGTGTGTATTCAACTCACAGAGTTGAACGTTCCTTTAGACAGAGTAGATTGGAAACACTCTTTTTGTGGAATTTTCAGGTGGAGGTATCAAGCGCTTTGAGACCAATGATAGAAAAGGAAATACCTTCGTATAATAATTAGACGGAATCATTCTCAGAAACTGCTTTGCAATGTGTGCCTTCAACTCACAGTGTTTAACCTTTCTTTTCATACAGTTGTTTCGAAACACCCTTTTTGCGGAATCTGGAAGTGGATATTTGGACCTCTTTGAAGTCTTCGTTGGAAATGGGATTTCTTCATATAATGCTAGACAGAAGACTTCTCAGTAACTGCTTTTTCTGGTGTGTATTCAACTCTCAGAGTTGAACTTTCCTTTAGAAACAGCAGAGTTGAAACTCTCTTCTTGTGGAATTTGCAAGTGGAGATTTCAAAGCTTTGAGGCCAATGGTAGAAAAGGAAATATCTTCGTATGCAAACTAGACAGAAATCATTCTCAGAAACTACTTTGGTACGTGTGTGTTCAACTCACAGTGTTTAACCTTTCTTTTCATAGAGCAGTTTGGAAACACTCAGTTTGTAAAGTCAGCAACTGGATATTTGGATGTATTTGAGGCCTTCGTTGGAAACGGGATTTCTTCATATAATGCTAGACAGAAGAATTCTCAGTAACTTCTTTGGGTTGTGGGTATTCAAGTCACAGAGTTGAAGCTTCCTTTAGGCGGAGCAGATTGGAAACACTTTTTGTGGAATTTTCAGGGGGAGACTTCAAGCGCTTTGAAGTGAATGGTAGGAAAGGAAATATCTTCGTATAAAAACTAGACGGAGTCATTCTCAGAAACTACTTTGTGATGTTTGCGTTCAACTCACAGAGTTTAACGTTTCTTTTCATAGAGCAGTTTGGAAACACTCTTTTTGCAGAATCTGCAAGTGGATATTTGGACCTCTTTGTGGCCTTCGTTGGAAACGGGATTTTTCATATAATGCTAGACAGAAGAATTCTCAGTAACTTCTTTTTGTGGTGTGTATTCAACTCACAGAGTTGAACCTTCCTTTAGACAGAGCAGATTTGAAACTCTCTTTTTGTGGAATTTGCAAGTGGAGATTTCAAGCGCTTTGAGGCCAACGGTAGAAAAGGAAATATCTTCGTAGAAAAAATAGACGGAATCATTCTCAGAAACTGCTTTGGGATGTGTGCATTGAACTCACAGTGTTTAACACTTCTTTTCATAGAGCACTTTGGAAACACTCAGTTTATAATGTCTGCAGCTGGATATTTGGACCTCTTTGAGGCCTTCGTAGTAAACGGGATTTCTTCGTGTAATGATAGACAATAGAATTCTCAGTGAATTTTTTTCTGTGTGTGTGTATTCAACTCACAGGGTTGAACCTTCCTTTAGACAGTGCAGATTTGAGACACTTGTCTGTGGAATTTGCAAGGGGAGATTTCAAGCACTTTGAGGCCATTGGTGGAAAAGGAAATATCTTCGTATAAAAACTAGACAGAATCATTCTCAGGAACTACTTTGTGATATGTGCATTCAACTCACAGAGTTTAACCTTTCTTTTCATAGATGAGTTTGGAAACAGTCAGTTTGTAAATTCTGCAACTGGATATTTGGACCTCTTTGAGGCTTTCGTTGGAAACGGGATTTCTTCACATAATGCTAGACAGAAGAATTCTCAGTAACTTCTTTTGGGATGTATGTATTCAAATCAGAGAGTTGAACCTTCCTTTAGACAGAGCGGATTGGAAACACTCTTTTTGTGGAATTTGCAAGTGGAAAATTCTAGCAGTATGAGGCCAATGGTACAAAAGGAAATATCTTCGTATAAAAACTAGACAGTATCATTCTCAGAAACTGCTTTGTGATGTGTGTATTAAACTCACAGCATTTGAACATTTCTTTGCATAGAGCAGTATGGAAAGACTTAGTTTGTGCAGTGTGCAAGTGGATATTTGGAACTCTTTGAGGCCTTGGTTGGAAACGGGATTTCTTCTTATAATTCTTGACAAAAGAATTCTCAGTAGCTTCTTTGTGTGTGTGTATTCAACTCACAGAGTTGAACCTTCCTTGAGACAGAGCAGATTGGAAACACTCTTTTTGTGGAATTTGCAAGTGGAGAATTCTAGCGCTTTGACGCCAATGGTAGAAAGGAAATATCTTCGTATAAAAACTAGACAGTATCATTCTCAGAAACTACTTTGTGATGTGTGCGTTCAACTCACAGTGTTTACCCTTTCTTTTCATAGAGCAGTTTGGAAACACTCTGTTTGTGAAGTCTGCAAGTGGATATTTAAACGTCTTTGAGGCCTTCGTTGGAAACGGGATTTCTTTATATAAACCAGGACAGAAGAATTCTCAGAAACTTCTTGATTGTTATGTGTGCATTCAACTCACAGAGTTGAACCTTACTTTGGAAAGAGCAGTTTTCTAACACTCTTTTTGTAAAAGTTCCAAGTGAATACTTTGAGTGCTTTGAAGCCTACGGTTGACAATGAAATATCTTCATGTAAAAACTACAAAGAATCATTCGCAGAAACCACGTTGTGATCTCTGCATTCAACTCACAGAGTTGAACCTTTCTTCCTATAGAGCAGTTATGAAACAGTCTCTTTGTAGAATTTGCAAGGGTGTATTTAGAGGGCATTGAAGCCTACGGTAGAAAAGGAAATATCTTACCATAAAATCTAGTCAGAAGCATTCTCAGAAACTGAGTTGTGATGTTTGCATTCAACTCACAGAGTTCAACATTCCTTTTAATGGAGCGGTTTTGAAACACTCTTTTTGCAGAATCTGCAAGTGGATATTTGGACCTCTTTGAGGCCTTCGTTGGAAACGGGATTTCTTCATGTAATGCCAGACAGAAGAATTCTCAGTGAATTCTTTCTGTGTGTGTGTATTCAACTCACAGAGTTGAACGTTCCTTTAGACAGAGTAGATTGGAAACACTCTTTTTGTGGAATTTTCAGGTGGAGGTATCAAGCGCTTTGAGGCCAATGATAGAAAAGGAAATACCTTCGTATAATAATTAGACGGAATCATTCTCAGAAACTGCTTTGCAATGTGTGCGTTCAACTCACAGTGTTTAACCTTTCTTTTCATACAGTTGTTTCGAAACACTCTTTTTGCAGAATCTGCAAGTGGATATTTGGACCTCTTTGAAGTCTTCGTTGGAAATGGGATTTCTTCATATAATGCTAGACAGAAGAATTCTCAGTAACTGCTTTCTCTGGTGTGTATTCAACTCTCAGAGTTGAACTTTCCTTTAGAAACACCAGATTTGAAACTCTCTTTTTGTGGAATTTGCAAGTGGAGATTTCAAAGCTTTGAGGCCAATGGTAGAAAAGGAAATATCTTCGTATGCAAACTAGACAGAATCATTCTCAGAAACTACTTTGGTACGTGTGTGTTCAACTCACAGTGTTTAACCTTTCTTTTCATAGAGCAGTTTGGAAACACTCAGTTTGTAAAGTCAGCAACTGGATATCTGGATGTATTTTAGGCCTTCGTTGGAAACGGGATTTCTTCATGTAATGCTAGACAGAAGAATTCTCAGTAACTTCTTTGGGTTGTGGGTATTCAAGTCACAGAGTTGAAGCTTCCTTTAGGCGGAGCAGATTGGAAACACTTTTTGTGGAATTTTCAGGGGGAGACTTCAAGCGCTTTGAAGTGAATGGTAGGAAAGGAAATATCTTCGTATAAAAACTAGACGGAGTCATTCTCAGAAACTACTTTGTGATGTTTGCGTTCAACTCACAGAGTTTAACGTTTCTTTTCATAGAGCAGTTTGGAAACACTCTTTTTGCAGAATCTGCAAGTGGATATTTGGACCTCTTTGTGGCCTTCGTTGGAAACGGGATTTTTCATATAATGCTAGACAGAAGAATTCTCAGTAACTTCTTTTTGTGGTGTGTATTCAACTCACAGAGTGGAACCTTCCTTTAGACAGAGCAGATTTGAAACTCTCTTTTCGTGGAATTTGCAAGTGGAGATTTCAAGCGCTTTGAGGCCAACGGTAGAAAAGGAAATATCTTCGTAGAAAAAATAGACGGAATCATTCTCAGAAACTGCTTTGGGATGTGTGCATTGAACTCACAGTGTTTAACACTTCTTTTCCTAGAGCACTTTGGAAACACTCAGGTTGTAATGTCTGCAGCTGGATATTTGGACCTCTTTGAGGCCTTCGTAGTAAACGGGATTTCTTCGTGTAATGATAGACAATAGAATTCTCAGTGAATTTTTTTCTGTGTGTGTGTATTCAACTCACAGGGTTGAACCTTCCTTTAGACAGTGCAGATTTGAAACACTTGTCTGTGGAATTTGCAAGGGGAGATTTCAAGCACTTTGAGGCCATTGGTGGAAAAGGAAATATCTTCGTATAAAAACTAGACAGAATCATTCTCAGGAACTACTTTGTGATATGTGCATTCAACTCACAGAGTTTAACCTTTCTTTTCATAGATGAGTTTGGAAACAGTCAGTTTGTAAATTCTGCAACTGGATATTTGGACCTCTTTGAGGCTTTCGTTGGAAACGGGATTTCTTCACATAATGCTAGACAGAAGAATTCTCAGTAACTTCTTTTGGGATGTATGTATTCAAATCAGAGAGTTGAACCTTCCTTTAGACAGAGCGGATTGGAAACACTCTTTTTGTGGAATTTGCAAGTGGAAAATTCTAGCAGTATGAGGCCAATGGTACAAAAGGAAATATCTTCGTATAAAAACTAGACAGTATCATTCTCAGAAACTGCTTTGTGATGTGTGTATTAAACTCACAGATTTGAACATTTCTTTGCATAGAGCAGTATGGAAAGACTTAGTTTGTGCAGTGTGCAAGTGGATATTTGGAACTCTTTGAGGCCTTGGTTGGAAACGGGATTTCTTCTTATAATTCTTGACAAAAGAATTCTCAGTAGCTTCTTTGTGTGTGTGTATTCAACTCACAGAGTTGAACCTTCCTTTAGACAGAGCAGATTGGAAACACTCTTTTTGTGGAATTTGCAAGTGGAGAATTCTAGCGCTTTGACGCCAATGGTAGAAAGGAAATATCTTCGTATAAAAACTAGACAGTATCATTCTCAGAAACTACTTTGTGATGTGTGCGTTCAACTCACAGAGTTTAACCTTTCTTTTCATAGAGCAGTTTGGAAACACTCTGTTTGTGAAGTCTGCAAGTGGATATTTAAACGTCTTTGAGGCCTTCGTTGGAAACGGGATTTCTTCATATAAACCAGGACAGAAGAATTCTCAGAAACTTCTTGATTGTTATGTGTGCATTCAACTCACAGAGTTGAACCTTACTTTGGAAAGAGCAGTTTTCTAACACTCTTTTTGTAAAAGTTCCAAGTGAATACTTTGAGTGCTTTGAAGCCTACGGTTGACAACGAAATATCTTCCTGTAAAAACTACAAAGAATCATTCGCAGAAACCACGTTGTGATCTCTGCAGTCAACTCACAGAGTTCAACCTTTCTTCCTATAGAGCAGTTATGAAACAGTCTCTTTGTAGAATTTGCAAGGGTGTATTTAGAGGGCATTGAAGCCTACGGTAGAAAAGGAAATATCTTACCATAAAATCTAGTCAGAAGCATTCTCAGAAACTGAGTTGTGATGTTTGCATTCAACTCACAGAGTTCAACATTCCTTTTAATGGAGCGGTTTTGAAACACTCTTTTTGCAGAATCTGCAAGTGGATATTTGGACCTCTTTGAGGCCTTCGTTGGAAACGGGATTTCTTCATGTAATGCCAGACAGAAGAATTCTCAGTGAATTCTTTCTGTGTGTGTGTATTCAACTCACAGAGTTGAACGTTCCTTTAGACAGAGTAGATTGGAAACACTCTTTTTGTGGAATTTTCAGGTGGAGGTATCAAGCGCTTTGAGGCCAATGATAGAAAAGGAAATACCTTCGTATAATAATTAGACGGAATCATTCTCAGAAACTGCTTTGCAATGTGTGCGTTCAACTCACAGTGTTTAACCTTTCTTTTCATACAGTTGTTTCGAAACACTCTTTTTGCAGAATCTGCAAGTGGATATTTGGACCTCTTTGAAGTCTTCGTTGGAAATGGGATTTCTTCATATAATGCTAGACAGAAGACTTCTCAGTAACTGCTTTTTCTGGTGTGTATTCAACTCTCAGAGTTGAACTTTCCTTTAGAAACAGCAGATTTGAAACTCTCTTTTTGTGGAATTTGCAAGTGGAGATTTCAGAGCTTTGAGGCCAATGGTAGAAAAGGAAATATCTTCGTATGCAAACTAGACAGAATCATTCTCAGAAACTACTTTGGTACGTGTGTGTTCAACTCACAGTGTTTAACCTTTCTTTTCATAGAGCAGTTTGGAAACACTCAGTTTGTAAAGTCAGCAACTGGATATTTGGATGTATTTGAGGCCTTCGTTGGAAACGGGATTTCTTCATATAGTGCTAGACAGAAGAATTCTCAGTAACTTCTTTGGGTTGTGGGTATTCAACTCACAGAGTTGAAGCTTCCTTTAGGCGGAGCAGATTGGAAACACTTTTTGTGGAATTTTCAGGGGGAGACTTCAAGCGCTTTGAAGTGAATGGTAGAAAAGGAAATATCTTCGTATAAAAAGTAGACGGAGTCATTCTCAGAAACTACTTTGTGATGTTTGCGTTCAACTCACAGAGTTTAACGTTTCTTTTCATAGAGCAGTTTGGAAACACTCTTTTTGCAGAATCTGCAAGTGGATATTTGGACCTCTTTGTGGCCTTCGTTGGAAACGGGATTTTTCATATAATGCTAGACAGAAGAATTCTCAGTAACTTCTTTTTGTGGTGTGTATTCAACTCACAGAGTTGAACCTTCCTTTAGACAGAGCAGATTTGAAACTCTCTTTTTGTGGAATTTGCAAGTGGAGATTTCAAGCGCTTTGAGGCCAACGGCAGAAAAGGAAATATCTTCGTAGAAAAAATAGACGGAATCATTCTCAGAAACTGCTTTGGGATGTGTGCATTGAACTCACAGTGTTTAACACTTCTTTTCATAGAGCACTTTGGAAACACTCAGTTTGTAATGTCTGCAGCTGGATATTTGGACCTCTTTGAGGCCTTCGTAGTAAACGGGATTTCTTCGTGTAATGATAGACAATAGAATTCTCAGTGAATTTTTTTCTGTGTGTGTGTATTCAACTCACAGGGTTGAACCTTCCTTTAGACAGTGCAGATTTGAAACACTTGTCTGTGGAATTTGCAAGGGGAGATTTCAAGCACTTTGAGGCCATTGGTGGAAAAGGAAATATCTTCGTATGAAAACTAGACAGAATCATTCTCAGGAACTACTTTGTGATATGTGCATTCAACTCACAGAGTTTAACCTTTCTTTTCATAGATGAGTTTGGAAACAGTCAGTTTGTAAATTCTGCAACTGGATATTTGGACCTCTTTGAGGCTTTCGTTGGAAACGGGATTTCTTCACATAATGCTAGACAGAAGAATTCTCAGTAACTTCTTTTGGGATGTATGTATTCAAATCAGAGAGTTGAACCTTCCTTTAGACAGAGCGGATTGGAAACACTCTTTTTGTGGAATTTGCAAGTGGAAAATTCTAGCAGTATGAGGCCAATGGTACAAAAGGAAATATCTTCGTATAAAAACTAGACAGTATCATTCTCAGAAACTGCTTTGTGATGTGTGTATTAAACTCACAGATTTGAACATTTCTTTGCATAGAGCAGTATGGAAAGACTTAGTTTGTGCAGTGTGCAAGTGGATATTTGGAACTCTTTGAGGCCTTGGTTGGAAACGGGATTTCTTCTTATAATTCTTGACAAAAGAATTCTCAGTAGCTTCTTTGTGTGTGTGTATTCAACTCACAGAGTTGAACCTTCCTTTAGACAGAGCAGATTGGAAACACTCTTTTTGTGGAATTTGCAAGTGGAGAATTCTAGCGCTTTGACGCCAATGGTAGAAAGGAAATATCTTCGTATAAAAACTAGACAGTAGTCATTCTCAGAAACTACTTTGTGATGTTTGCGTTCAACTCACAGAGTTTAACGTTTCTTTTCATAGAGCAGTTTGGAAACACTCTGTTTGTGAAGTCTGCAAGTGGATATTTAAACGTCTTTGAGGCCTTCGTTGGAAACGGGATTTTTTCATATAAACCAGGACAGAAGAATCCTCAGAAACTTCTTGTTTGTTATGTGTGCATTCAACTCACAGAGTTGAACCTTACTTTGGAAAGAGCAGTTTCCTAACACTCTTTTTGTAAAAGTTCCAAGTGAATACTTTGAGTGCTTTGAAGCCTACGGTAGACAACGAAATATCTTCATGTAAAAACTACAAAGAATCATTCGCAGAAACCACGTTGTGATCTCTGCATTCAACTCACAGAGTTCAACCTTTCTTCCTATAGAGCAGTTATTAAACAGTCTCTTTGTAGAATTTGCAAGGGTGTATTTAGAGGGCATTGAAGCCTACGGTAGAAAAGGAAATATCTGACCATAAAATCTAGTCAGAAGCATTCTCAGAAACTGAGTTGTGATGTTTGCATTCAACTCACAGAGTTCAACATTCCTTTTAATGGAGCGGTTTTGAAACACTCTTTTTGCAGAATCTGCAAGTGGATATTTGGACCTCTTTGAGGCCTTCGTTGGAAACGGGATTTCTTCATGTAATGCCAGACAGAAGAATTCTCAGTGAATTCTTTCTGTGTGTGTGTATTCAACTCACAGAGTTGAACGTTCCTTTAGACAGAGTAGATTGGAAACACTCTTTTTGTGGAATTTTCAGGTGGAGGTATCAAGCGCTTTGAGGCCAATGATAGAAAAGGAAATACCTTCGTATAATAATTAGACGGAATCATTCTCAGAAACTGCTTTGCAATGTGTGCGTTCAACTCACAGTGTTTAACCTTTCTTTTCATACAGTTGTTTCGAAACACTCTTTTTGCAGAATCTGCAAGTGGATATTTGGACCTCTTTGAAGTCTTCGTTGGAAATGGGATTTCTTCATATAATGCTAGACAGAAGACTTCTCAGTAACTGCTTTTTCTGGTGTGTATTCAACTCTCAGAGTTGAACTTTCCTTTAGAAACAGCAGATTTGAAACTCTCTTTTTGTGGAATTTGCAAGTGGAGATTTCAGAGCTTTGAGGCCAATGGTAGAAAAGGAAATATCTTCGTATGCAAACTAGACAGAATCATTCTCAGAAACTACTTTGGTACGTGTGTGTTCAACTCACAGTGTTTAACCTTTCTTTTCATAGAGCAGTTTGGAAACACTCAGTTTGTAAAGTCAGCAACTGGATATTTGGATGTATTTGAGGCCTTCGTTGGAAACGGGATTTCTTCATATAATGCTAGACAGAAGAATTCTCAGTAACTTCTTTGGGTTGTGGGTATTCAACTCACAGAGTTGAAGCTTCCTTTAGGCGGAGCAGATTGGAAACACTTTTTGTGGAATTTTCAGGGGGAGACTTCAAGCGCTTTGAAGTGAATGGTAGGAAAGGAAATATCTTCGTATAAAAACTAGACGGAGTCATTGTCAGAAACTACTTTGTGATGTTTGCGTTCAACTCACAGAGTTTAACGTTTCTTTTCATAGAGCAGTTTGGAAACACTCTTTTTGCAGAGTCTGCAAGTGGATATTTGGACCTCTTTGTGGCCATCGTTGGAAACGGGATTTTTCATATAATGCTAGACAGAAGAATTCTCAGTAACTTCTTGTTGTGGTGTGTATTCAACTCACAGAGTTGAACCTTCCTTTAGACAGAGCAGATTTGAAACTCTCTTTTTGTGGAATTTGCAAATGGAGATTTCAAGCGCTTTGAGGCCAACGGTAGAAAAGGAAATATCTTCGTAGAAAAAAATAGACGGAATCATTCTCAGAAACTGCTTTGGGATGTGTGCATTGAACTCACAGTGTTTAACACTTCTTTTCATAGAGCACTTTGGAAACACTCAGTTTGTAATGTCTGCAGCTGGATATTTGGACCTCTTTGAGGCCTTCGTAGTAAACGGGATTTCTTCGTGTAATGATAGACAATAGAATTCTCAGTGAATTTTTTTCTGTGTGTGTGTATTCAACTCACAGGGTTGAACCTTCCTTTAGACAGTGCAGATTTGAAACACTTGTCTGTGGAATTTGCAAGGGGAGATTTCAAGCACTTTGAGGCCATTGGTGGAAAAGGAAATATCTTCGTATGAAAACTAGACAGAATCATTCTCAGGAACTACTTTGTGATATGTGCATTCAACTCCCAGAGTTTAACCTTTCTTTTCATAGATGAGTTTGGAAACAGTCAGTTTGTAAATTCTGCCACTGGATATTTGGACCTCTTTGAGGCTTTCGTTGGAAACGGGATTTCTTCACATAATGCTAGACAGAAGAATTCTCAGTAACTTCTTTTGGGATGTATGTATTCAAATCAGAGAGTTGAACCTTCCTTTAGACAGAGCGGATTGGAAACACTCTTTTTGTGGAATTTGCAAGTGGAAAATTCTAGCAGTATGAGGCCAATGGTACAAAAGGAAATATCTTCGTATAAAAACTAGACAGTATCATTCTCAGAAACTGCTTTGTGATGTGTGTATTAAACTCACAGAGTTGAACATTTCTTTGCATAGAGCAGTTTGGAAAGACTTAGTTTGTGCAGTGTGCAAGTGGATATTTGGAACTCTTTGAGGCCTTCGTTGGAAACGGGATTTCTTCTTATAATTCTTGACAAAAGAATTCTCAGTAGCTTCTTTGTGTGTGTGTATTCAACTCACAGAGTTGAACCTTCCTTTAGACAGAGCAGATTGGAAACACTCTTTTTGTGGAATTTGCAAGTGGAGAATTCTAGCGCTTTGACGCCAATGGTAGAAAGGAAATATCTTCGTATAAAAACTAGACAGTATCATTCTCAGAAGCTACTTTGTGATGTGTGCGTTCAACTCACAGAGTTTAACCTTTCTTTTCATAGAGCAGTTTGGAAACCTTCTGTTTGTGAAGTCTGCAAGTGGATATTTAAACGTCTTTGAGGCCTTCGTTGGAAACGGGATTTCTTCATATAAACCAGGACAGAAGAATTCTCAGAAACTTCTTGATTGTTATGTGTGCATTCAACTCACAGAGTTGAACCTTACTTTGGAAAGAGCAGTTTTCTAACACTCTTTTTGTAAAAGTTCCAAGTGAATACTTTGAGTGCTTTGAAGCCTACGGTTGACAACGAAATATCTTCATGTAAAAACTACAAAGAATCATTCGCAGAAACCACGTTGTGATCTCTGCATTCAACTCACAGTGTTGAACCTTTCTTCCTATAGAGCAGTTATGAAACAGTCTCTTTGTAGAATTTGCAAGGGTGTATTTAGAGGGCATTGAAGCCTACGGTAGAAAAGGAAATATCTTACCATAAAATCTAGTCAGAAGCATTCTCAGCAACTGAGTTGTGATGTTTCCATTCAACTCACAGAGTTCAACATTCCTTTTAATGGAGCGGTTTTGAAACACTCTTTTTGCAGAATCTGCAAGTGGATATTTGGACCTGCTTTGAGGCCTTCGTTGGAAACGGGATTTCTTCATGTAATGCCAGACAGAAGAATTCTCAGTGAATTCTTTCTGTGTGTGTGTATTCAACTCACAGAGTTGAACGTTCCTTTAGACAGAGTAGATTGGAAACACTCTTTTTGTGGAATTTTCAGGTGGAGGTATCAAGCGCTTTGAGGCCAATGATAGAAAAGGAAATACCTTCGTATAATAATTAGACGGAATCATTCTCAGAAACTGCTTTGCAATGTGTGCGTTCAACTCACAGTGTTTAACCTTTCTTTTCATACAGTTGTTTCGAAACACTCTTTTTGCAGAATCTGCAAGTGGATATTTGGACCTCTTTGAAGTCTTCGTTGGAAATGGGATTTCTTCATATAATGCTAGACAGAAGACTTCTCAGTAACTGCTTTTTCTGGTGTGTATTCAACTCTCAGAGTTGAACTTTCCTTTAGAAACAGCAGATTTGAAACTCTCTTTTTGTGGAATTTGCAAGTGGAGATTTCAGAGCTTTGAGGCCAATGGTAGAAAAGGAAATATCTTCGTATGCAAACTAGACAGAATCATTCTCAGAAACTACTTTGGTACGTGTGTGTTCAACTCACAGTGTTTAACCTTTCTTTTCATAGAGCAGTTTGGAAACACTCAGTTTGTAAAGTCAGCAACTGGATATTTGGATGTATTTGAGGCCTTCGTTGGAAACGGGATTTCTTCATATAATGCTAGACAGAAGAATTCTCAGTAACTTCTTTGGGTTGTGGGTATTCAAGTCACAGAGTTGAAGCTTCCTTTAGGCGGAGCAGATTGGAAACACTTTTTGTGGAATTTTCAGGGGGAGACTTCAAGCGCTTTGAAGTGAATGGTAGGAAAGGAAATATCTTCGTATAAAAACTAGACGGAGTCATTCTCAGAAACTACTTTGTGATGTTTGCGTTCAACTCACAGCAGTTTAACGTTTCTTTTCATAGAGCAGTTTGGAAACACTCTTTTTGCAGAATCTGCAAGTGGATATTTGGACCTCTTTGTGGCCTTCGTTGGAAACGGGATTTTTCATATAATGCTAGACAGAAGAATTCTCAGTAACTTCTTTTTGTGGTGTGTATTCAACTCACAGAGTTGAACCTTCCTTTAGACAGAGCAGATTTGAAACTCTCTTTTTGTGGAATTTGCAAGTGGAGATTTCAAGCGCTTTGAGGCCAACGGCAGAAAAGGAAATATCTTCGTAGAAAAAATAGACGGAATCATTCTCAGAAACTGCTTTGGGATGTGTGCATTGAACTCACAGTGTTTAACACTTCTTTTCCTAGAGCACTTTGGAAACACTCAGGTTGTAATGTCTGCAGCTGGATATTTGGACCTCTTTGAGGCCTTCGTAGTAAACGGGATTTCTTCGTGTAATGATAGACAATAGAATTCTCAGTGAATTTTTTTCTGTGTGTGTGTATTCAACTCACAGGGTTGAACCTTCCTTTAGACAGTGCAGATTTGAAACACTTGTCTGTGGAATTTGCAAGGGGAGATTTCAAGCACTTTGAGGCCATTGGTGGAAAAGGAAATATCTTCGTATAAAAACTAGACAGAATCATTCTCAGGAACTACTTTGTGATATGTGCATTCAACTCACACAGTTTAACCTTTCTTTTCATAGATGAGTTTGGAAACAGTCAGTTTGTAAATTCTGCAACTGGATATTTGGACCTCTTTGAGGCTTTCGTTGGAAACGGGATTTCTTCACATAATGCTAGACAGAAGAATTCTCAGTAACTTCTTTTGGGATGTATGTATTCAACTCATAGAGTTGAACCTTCCTTTAGACAGAGCGGATTGGAAACACGCTTTTTGCGGAATTTTCAGGTGGAGATTTCAAGAGCCTTGAGGCCAATGGTAGAAAAGGCTATCTTCGTATAAAAACTAGACGGAATCATTCTCAGAAACTGCTTTGTGATGTGTGTATTAAACTCACAGAGTTGAACATTTCTTTGCATAGAGCAGTTTGGAAAGACTTAGTTTGTGCAGTGTGCAAGTGGATATTTGGAACTCTTTGAGGCCTTCGTTGGAAACGGGATTTCTTCTTATAATTCTTGACAAAAGAATTCTCAGTAGCTTCTTTGTGTGTGTGTATTCAACTCACAGAGTTGAACCTTCCTTTAGACAGAGCAGATTGGAAACACTCTTTTTGTGGAATTTGCAAGTGGAGAATTCTAGCGCTTTGACGCCAATGGTAGAAAGGAAATATCTTCGTATAAAAACTAGACAGTATCATTCTCAGAAACTACTTTGTGATGTGTGCGTTCAACTCACAGTGTTTACCCTTTCTTTTCATAGAGCAGTTTGGAAACACTCTGTTTGTGAAGTCTGCAAGTGGATATTTAAACGTCTTTGAGGCCTTCGTTGGAAACGGGATTTCTTCATATAAACCAGGACAGAAGAATTCTCAGAAACTTCTTGTTTGTTATGTGTGCATTCAACTCACAGAGTTGAACCTTACCTTGGAAAGAGCAGTTTTCTAACACTCTTTTTGTAAAAGTTCCAAGTGAATACTTTGAGTGCTTTGAAGCCTACGGTAGACAACGAAATATCTTCATGTAAAAACTACAAAGAATCATTCGCAGAAACCACGTTGTGATCTCTGCATTCAACTCACAGAGTTGAACCTTTCCTCCTATAGAGCAGTTATGAAGCAGTCTCTTTGTAGAATTTGCAAGGGTGTATTTACAGGGCATTGAAGCCTACGGTGGAAAAGGAAATATCTTACCATAAAATCTAGTCAGAAGCATTCTCAGCAACTGAGTTGTGATGTTTGCATTCAACTCACAGAGTTCAACATTCCTTTTAATGGAGCGGTTTTGAAACACTCTTTTTGCAGAATCTGCAAGTGGATATTTGGACCTCTTTGAGGCCTTCGTTGGAAACGGGATTTCTTCATGTAATGCCAGACAGAAGAATTCTCAGTGAATTCTTTCTGTGTGTGTGTATTCAACTCACAGAGTTGAACGTTCCTTTAGACAGAGTAGATTGGAAACACTCTTTTTGTGGAATTTTCAGGTGGAGGTATCAAGCGCTTTGAGGCCAATGATAGAAAAGGAAATACCTTCGTATAATAATTAGACGGAATCATTCTCAGAAACTGCTTTGCAATGTGTGCGTTCAACTCACAGTGTTTAACCTTTCTTTTCATAGAGTTGTTTCGAAACACTCTTTTTGCAGAATCTGCAAGTGGATATTTGGACCTCTTTGAAGTCTTCGTTGGAAATGGGATTTCTTCATATAATGCTAGACAGAAGACTTCTCAGTAACTGCTTTTTCTGGTGTGTATTCAACTCTCCGAGTTGAACTTTCCTTTAGAAACAGCAGATTTGAAACTCTCTTTTTGTGGAATTTGCAAGTGGAGATTTCAGAGCTTTGAGGCCACTGGTAGAAAAGGAAATATCTTCGTATGCAAACTAGACAGAATCATTCTCAGAAACTACTTTGGTACGTGTGTGTTCAACTCACAGTGTTTAACCTTTCTTTTCATAGAGCAGTTTGGAAACACTCAGTTTGTAAAGTCAGCAACTGGATATTTGGATGTATTTGAGGCCTTCGTTGGAAACGGGATTTCTTCATATAATGCTAGACAGAAGAATTCTCAGTAACTTCTTTGGGTTGTGGGTATTCAACTCACAGAGTTGAAGCTTCCTTTAGGCGGAGCAGATTGGAAACACTTTTTGTGGAATTTTCAGGGGGAGACTTCAAGCGCTCTGAGGCCAACGGTAGAAAAGGAAATATCTTCGTATAAAAACTAGACGGAAGTCATTCTCAGAAACTACTTTGTGATGTTTGCGTTCAACTCACAGTAGTTTAACGTTTCTTTTCATAGAGCAGTTTGGAAACACTCTTTTTGCAGAATCTGCAAGTGGATATTTAGACCTCTTTGTGGCCTTCGTTGGAAACGGGATTTTTCATATAATGCTAGACAGAAGAATTCTCAGTAACTTCTTTTTGTGGTGTGTATTCAACTCACAGAGTTGAACCTTCCTTTAGACAGAGCAGATTTGAAACTCTCTTTTTGTGGAATTTGCAAGTGGAGATTTCAAGCGCTTTGAGGCCAACGGCAGAAAAGGAAATATCTTCGTAGAAAAAATAGACGGAATCATTCTCAGAAACTGCTTTGGGATGTGTGCATTGAACTCACAGTGTTTAACACTTCTTTTCATAGAGCACTTTGGAAACACTCAGTTTGTAATGTCTGCAGCTGGATATTTGGACCTCTTTGAGGCCTTCGTAGTAAACGGGATTTCTTCGTGTAATGATAGACAATAGAATTCTCAGTGAATTTTTTTCTGTGTGTGTGTATTCAACTCACAGGGTTGAACCTTCCTTTAGACAGTGCAGATTTGAGACACTTGTCTGTGGAATTTGCAAGGGGAGATTTCAAGCACTTTGAGGCCATTGGTGGAAAAGGAAATATCTTCGTATGAAAACTAGACAGAATCATTCTCAGGAACTACTTTGTGATATGTGCATTCAACTCCCAGAGTTCAACCTTTCTTTTCATAGATGAGTTTGGAAACAGTCAGTTTGTAAATTCTGCAACTGGATATTTGGACCTCTTTGAGGCTTTCGTTGGAAACGGGATTTCTTCACATAATGCTAGACAGAAGAATTCTCAGTAAATTCTTTTGGGATGTATGTATTCAAATCAGAGAGTTGAACCTTCCTTTAGACAGAGCGGATTGGAAACACTCTTTTTGTGGAATTTGCAAGTGGAAAATTCTAGCAGTATGAGGCCAATGGTACAAAAGGAAATATCTTCGTATAAAAACTAGACAGTATCATTCTCAGAAACTGCTTTGTGATGTGTGCATTAAACTCACAGGGTTGAACATTTCTTTGCATAGAGCAGTTTGGAAAGACTTAGTTTGTACAGTGTGCAAGTGGATATTTGGAACTCTTTGAGGCCTTCGTTGGAAACGGGATTTCTTCTTATAATTCTTGACAAAAGAATTCTCAGTAGCTTCTTTGTGTGTGTGTATTCAACTCACAGAGTTGAACCTTCCTTTAGACAGAGCAGATTGGAAACACTCTTTTTGTGGAATTTGCAAGTGGAGAATTCTAGCGCTTTGACGCCAATGGTAGAAAGGAAATATCTTCGTATAAAAACTAGACAGTATCATTCTCAGAAACTACTTTGTGAGGTGTGCGTTCAACTCACAGTGTTTACCCTTTCTTTTCATAGAGCAGTTTGGAAACACTCTGTTTGTGAAGTCTGCAAGTGGATATTTAAACGTCTTTGAGGCCTTCGTTGGAAACGGGATTTCTTCATATAAACCAGGACAGAAGAATTCTCAGAAACTTCTTGATTGTTATGTGTGCATTCAACTCACAGAGTTGAAACTTACTTTGGAAAGAGCAGTTTTCTAACACTCTTTTTGTAAAAGTTCCAAGTGAATACTTTGAGTGTTTGAAGCCTACGGTTGACAACGAAATATCTTCCTGTAAAAACTACAAAGAATCATTCGCAGAAACCACGTTGTGATCTCTGCATTCAACTCACAGAGTTGAACCTTTCTTCCTATAGAGCAGTTATGAAACAGTCTCTTTGTAGAATTTGCAAGGGTGTATTTAGAGGGCATTGAAGCCTACGGTATAAAAGGAAATATCTTACCATAAAATCTAGTCAGAAGCATTCTCAGCAACTGAGTTGTGATGTTTCCATTCAACTCACAGAGTTCAACATTCCTTTTAATGGAGCGGTTTTGAAACACTCTTTTTGCAGAATCTGCAAGTGGATATTTGGACCTGCTTTGAGGCCTTCGTTGGAAACGGGATTTCTTCATGTAATGCCAGACAGAAGAATTCTCAGTGAATTCTTTCTGTGTGTGTGTATTCAACTCACAGAGTTGAACGTTCCTTTAGACAGAGTAGATTGGAAACACTCTTTTTGTGGAATTTTCAGGTGGAGGTATCAAGCGCTTTGAGGCCAATGATAGAAAAGGAAATACCTTCGTATAATAATTAGACGGAATCATTCTCAGAAACCGCTTTGCAATGTGTGCGTTCAACTCACAGTGTTTAACCTTTCTTTTCATACAGTTGTTTCGAAACACTCTTTTTGCAGAATCTGCAAGTGGATATTTGGACCTCTTTGAAGTCTTCGTTGGAAATGGGATTTCTTCATATAATGCTAGACAGAAGACTTCTCAGTAACTGCTTTTTCTGGTGTGTATTCAACTCTCAGAGTTGAACTTTCCTTTAGAAACAGCAGAGTTGAAACTCTCTTTTTGTGGAATTTGCAAGTGGAGATTTCAAAGCTTTGAGGCCAATGGTAGAAAAGGAAATATCTTCGTATGCAAACTAGACAGAATCATTCTCAGAAACTACTTTGGTACGTGTGTGTTCAACTCACAGTGTTTAACCTTTCTTTTCATAGAGCAGTTTGGAAACACTCAGTTTGTAAAGTCAGCAACTGGATATTTGGATGTATTTGAGGCCTTCGTTGGAAACGGGATTTCTTCATATAATGCTAGACAGAAGAATTCTCAGTAACTTCTTTGGGTTGTGGGTATTCAAGTCACAGAGTTGAAGCTTCCTTTAGCGGAGCAGATTGGAAACACTTTTTGTGGAATTTTCAGGGGGAGACTTCAAGCGCTTTGAAGTGAATGGTAGGAAAGGAAATATCTTCGTATAAAAACTAGACGGAGTCATTCTCAGAAACTACTTTGTGATGTTTGCGTTCAACTCACAGAGTTTAACGTTTCTTTTCATAGAGCAGTTTGGAAACACTCTTTTTGCAGAATCTGCAAGTGGATATTTGGACCTCTTTGTGGCCTTCGTTGGAAACGGGATTTTTCATATAATGCTAGACAGAAGAATTCTCAGTAACTTCTTTTTGTGGTGTGTATTCAACTCACAGAGTTGAACCTTCCTTTAGACAGAGCAGATTTGAAACTCTCTTTTTGTGGAATTTGCAAGTGGAGATTTCAAGCGCTTTGAGGCCAACGGCAGAAAAGGAAATATCTTCGTAGAAAAAATAGACGGAATCATTCTCAGAAACTGCTTTGGGATGTGTGCATTGAACTCACAGTGTTTAACACTTCTTTTCATAGAGCACTTTGGAAACACTCAGTTTGTAATGTCTGCAGCTGGATATTTGGACCTCTTTGAGGCCTTCGTAGTAAACGGGATTTCTTCGTGTAATGATAGACAATAGAATTCTCAGTGAATTTTTTTCTGTGTGTGTGTATTCAACTCACAGGGTTGAACCTTCCTTCAGACAGTGCAGATTTGAAACACTTTTCTGTGGAATTTGTAAGGGGAGATTTCAAGCACTTTGAGGCCATTGGTGGAAAAGGGAATATCTTCGTATAAAAACTAGACAGAATCATTCTCAGGAACTACTTTGTGATATGTGCATTCAACTCACAGAGTTTAACCTTTCTTTTCATAGATGAGTTTGGAAACAGTCAGTTTGTAAATTCTGCAACTGGATATTTGGACCTCTTTGAGGCTTTCGTTGGAAACGGGATTTCTTCACATAATGCTAGACAGAAGAATTCTCAGTAACTTCTTTTGGGATGTATGTATTCAAATCAGAGAGTTGAACCTTCCTTTAGACAGAGCGGATTGGAAACACTCTTTTTGTGGAATTTGCAAGTGGAAAATTCTAGCAGTATGAGGCCAATGGTACAAAAGGAAATATCTTCGTATAAAAACTAGACAGTATCATTCTCAGAAACTGCTTTGTGATGTGTGAATTAAACTCACAGAGTTGAACATTTCTTTGCATAGAGCAGTTTGGAAAGACTTAGTTTTTGCAGTGTGCAAGTGGATATTTGGAACTCTTTGAGGCCTTCGTTGGAAACGGGATTTCTTCTTATAATTCTTGACAAAAGAATTCTCAGTAGCTTCTTTGTGTGTGTGTACTCAACTCACAGAGTTGAACCTTCCTTTAGACAGAGCAGATTGGAAACACTCTTTTTGTGGAATTTGCAAGTGGAAATTTCTAGCAGTATGAGGCCAATGGTACAAAAGGAAATATCTTCGTATAAAAACTAGACAGTATCATTCTCAGAAACTGCTTTGTGATGTGTGTATTAAACTCACAGAGTTTAACCTTTCTTTTCATAGAGCAGTTTGGAAACCCTCTGTTTGTGAAGTCTGCAAGTGGATATTTAAACGTCTTTGAGGCCTTCGTTGGAAACGGGATTTTTTCATATAAACCAGGACAGAAGAATTCTCAGAAACTTCTTGATTGTTATGTGTGCATTCAACTCACAGAGTTGAACCTTACTTTGGAAAGAGCAGTTTTCTAACACTCTTTTTGTAAAAGTTCCAAGTGAATACTTTGAGTGCTTTGAAGCCTACGGTTGACAACGAAATATCTTCATGTAAAAACTACAAAGAATCATTCGCAGAAACCACGTTGTGATCTCTGCATTCAACTCACAGAGTTCAACCTTTCTTCCTATAGAGCAGTTATGAAACAGTCTCTTTGTAGAATTTGCAAGGGTGTATTTAGAGGGCATTGAAGCCTACGGTAGAAAAGGAAATATCTTACCATAAAATCTAGTCAGAAGCATTCTCAGAAACTGAGTTGTGATGTTTGCATTCAACTCACAGAGTTCAACATTCCTTTTAATGGAGCGGTTTTGAAACACTCTTTTTGCAGAATCTGCAAGTGGATATTTGGACCTCTTTGAGGCCTTCGTTGGAAACGGGATTTCTTCATGTAATGCCAGACAGAAGAATTCTCAGTGAATTCTTTCTGTGTGTGTGTATTCAACTCACGGAGTTGAACGTTCCTTTAGACAGAGTAGATTGGAAACACTCTTTTTCTGGAATTTTCAGGTGGAGGTATCAAGCGCTTTGAGGCCAATGATAGAAAAGGAAATACCTTCGTATAATAATTAGACGGAATCATTCTCAGAAACTGCTTTGCAATGTGTGCGTTCAACTCACAGTGTTTAACCTTTCTTTTCATACAGTTGTTTCGAAACACTCTTTTTGCAGAATCTGCAAGTGGATATTTGGACCTCTTTGAAGTCTTCGTTGGAAATGGGATTTCTTCATATAATGCTAGACAGAAGACTTCTCAGTAACTGCTTTTTCTGGTGTGTATTCAACTCTCAGAGTTGAACTTTCCTTTAGAAACAGCAGATTTGAAACTCTCTTTTTGTGGAATTTGCAAGTGGAGATTTCAGAGCTTTGAGGCCAATGGTAGAAAAGGAAATATCTTCGTATGCAAACTAGACAGAATCATTCTCAGAAACTACTTTGGTACGTGTGTGTTCAACTCACAGTGTTTAACCTTTCTTTTCATAGAGCAGTTTGGAAACACTCAGTTTGTAAAGTCAGCAACTGGATATTTGGATGTATTTGAGGCCTTCGTTGGAAACGGGATTTCTTCATATAATGCTAGACAGAAGAATTCTCAGTAACTTCTTTGGGTTGTGGGTATTCAACTCACAGCAGTTGAAGCTTCCTTTAGGCGGAGCAGATTGGAAACACTTTTTGTGGAATTTTCAGGGGGAGACTTCAAGCGCTTTGAAGTGAATGGTAGGAAAGGAAATATCTTCGTATAAAAACTAGACGGAGTCATTCTCAGAAACTACTTTGTGATGTTTGCGTTCAACTCACAGAGTTTAACGTTTCTTTTCATAGAGCAGTTTGGAAACACTCTTTTTGCAGAATCTGCAAGTGGATATTTGGACCTCTTTGTGGCCTTCGTTGGAAACGGGATTTTTCATATAATGCTAGACAGAAGAATTCTCAGTAACTTCTTTTTGTGGTGTGTATTCAACTCACAGAGTTGAACCTTCCTTTAGACAGAGCAGATTTGAAACTCTCTTTTTGTGGAATTTGCAAGTGGAGATTTCAAGCGCTTTGAGGCCAACGGCAGAAAAGGAAATATCTTCGTAGAAAAAATAGACGGAATCATTCTCAGAAACTGCTTTGGGATGTGTGCATTGAACTCACAGTGTTTAACACTTCTTTTCATAGAGCACTTTGGAAACACTCAGTTTATAATGTCTGCAGCTGGATATTTGGACCTCTTTGAGGCCTTCGTAGTAAACGGGATTTCTTCGTGTAATGATAGACAATAGAATTCTCAGTGAATTTGTTTCTGTGTGTGTGTATTCAACTCACAGGGTTGAACCTTCCTTTAGACAGTGCAGATTTGAAACACTTGTCTGTGGAATTTGCAAGGGGAGATTTCAAGCACTTTGAGGCCATTGGTGGAAAAGGAAATATCTTCGTATAAAAACTAGACAGAATCATTCTCAGGAACTACTTTGTGATATGTGCATTCAACGCACAGAGTTTAACCTTTCTTTTCATAGATGAGTTTGGAAACAGTCAGTTTGTAAATTCTGCAACTGGATATTTGGACCTCTTTGAGGCTTTCGTTGGAAACGGGATTTCTTCACATAATGCTAGACAGAAGAATTCTCAGTAACTTCTTTTGGGATGTATGTATTCAAATCAGAGAGTTGAACCTTCCTTTAGACAGAGCGGATTGGAAACACTCTTTTTGTGGAATTTGCAAGTGGAAAATTCTAGCAGTATGAGGCCAATGGTACAAAAGGAAATATCTTCGTATAAAAACTAGACAGTATCATTCTCAGAAACTGCTTTGTGATGTGTGTATTAAACTCACAGAGTTGAACATTTCTTTGCATAGAGCAGTATGGAAAGACTTAGTTTGTGCAGTGTGCAAGTGGATATTTGGAACTCTTTGAGGCCTTGGTTGGAAACGGGATTTCTTCTTATAATTCTTGACAAAAGAATTCTCAGTAGCTTCTTTGTGTGTGTGTATTCAACTCACAGAGTTGAACCTTCCTTTAGACAGAGCAGATTGGAAACACTCTTTTTGTGGAATTTGCAAGTGGAGAATTCTAGCACTTTGACGCCAATGGTAGAAAGGAAATATCTTCGTATAAAAACTAGACAGTAATCATTCTCAGTAAGCTACTTTGTGATGTGTGCGTTCAACTCACAGAGTTTAACCTTTCTTTTCATAGAGCAGTTTGGAAACACTCTGTTTGTGAAGTCTGCAAGTGGATATTTAAACGTCTTTGAGGCCTTCGTTGGAAACGGGATTTTTTCATATAAACCAGGACAGAAGAATTCTCAGAAACTTCTTGATTGTTATGTGTGCATTCAACTCACAGAGTTGAACCTTACTTTGGAAAGAGCAGTTTTCTAACACTCTTTTTGTAAAAGTTCCAAGTGAATACTTTGAGTGCTTTGAAGCCTACGGTTGACAACGAAATATCTTCATGTAAAAACTACAAAGAATCATTCGCAGAAACCACGTTGTGATCTCTGCATTCAACTCACAGAGTTGAACCTTTCTTCCTATAGAGCAGTTATGAAACAGTCTCTTTGTAGAATTTGCAAGGGTGTATTTAGAGGGCATTGAAGCCTACGGTAGAAAAGGAAATATCTTACCATAAAATCTAGTCAGAAGCATTCTCAGAAACTGAGTTGTGATGTTTGCATTCAACTCACAGAGTTCAACATTCCTTTTAATGGAGCGGTTTTGAAACACTCTTTTTGCAGAATCTGCAAGTGGATATTTGGACCTCTTTGAGGCCTTCGTTGGAAACGGGATTTCTTCATGTAATGCCAGACAGAAGAATTCTCAGTGAATTCTTTCTGTGTGTGTGTATTCAACTCACAGAGTTGAACGTTCCTTTAGACAGAGTAGATTGGAAACACTCTTTTTGTGGAATTTTCAGGTGGAGGTATCAAGCGCTTTGAGGCCAATGATAGAAAAGGAAATACCTTCGTATAATAATTAGACGGAATCATTCTCAGAAACTGCTTTGCAATGTGTGCGTTCAACTCACAGTGTTTAACCTTTCTTTTCATACAGTTGTTTCGAAACACTCTTTTTGCAGAATCTGCAAGTGGATATTTGGACCTCTTTGAAGTCTTCGTTGGAAATGGGATTTCTTCATATAATGCTAGACAGAAGACTTCTCAGTAACTGCTTTTTCTGGTGTGTATTCAACTCTCAGAGTTGAACTTTCCTTTAGAAACAGCAGATTTGAAACTCTCTTTTTGTGGAATTTGCAAGTGGAGATTTCAGAGCTTTGAGGCCAATGGTAGAAAAGGAAATATCTTCGTATGCAAACTAGACAGAATCATTCTCAGAAACTACTTTGGTACGTGTGTGTTCAACTCACAGTGTTTAACCTTTCTTTTCATAGAGCAGTTTGGAAACACTCAGTTTGTAAAGTCAGCAACTGGATATTTGGATGTATTTGAGGCCTTCGTTGGAAACGGGATTTCTTCATATAATGCTAGACAGAAGAATTCTCAGTAACTTCTTTGGGTTGTGGGTATTCAAGTCACAGAGTTGAAGCTTCCTTTAGGCGGAGCAGATTGGAAACACTTTTTGTGGAATTTTCAGGGGGAGACTTCAAGCGCTTTGAAGTGAATGGTAGGAAAGGAAATATCTTCGTATAAAAACTAGACGGAGTCATTCTCAGAAACTACTTTGTGATGTTTGCGTTCAACTCACAGAGTTTAACGTTTCTTTTCATAGAGCAGTTTGGAAACACTCTTTTTGCAGAATCTGCAAGTGGATATTTGGACCTCTTTGTGGCCTTCGTTGGAAACGGGATTTTTCATATAATGCTAGACAGAAGAATTCTCAGTAACTTCTTTTTGTGGTGTGTATTCAACTCACAGAGTTGAACCTTCCTTTAGACAGAGCAGATTTGAAACTCTCTTTTTGTGGAATTTGCAAGTGGAGATTTCAAGCGCTTTGAGGCCAACGGCAGAAAAGGAAATATCTTCGTAGAAAAAATAGACGGAATCATTCTCAGAAACTGCTTTGGGATGTGTGCATTGAACTCACAGTGTTTAACACTTCTTTTCATAGAGCACTTTGGAAACACTCAGTTTGTAATGTCTGCAGCTGGATATTTGGACCTCTTTGAGGCCTTCGTAGTAAACGGGATTTCTTCGTGTAATGATAGACAATAGAATTCTCAGTGAATTTTTTTCTGTGTGTGTGTATTCAACTCACAGGGTTGAACCTTCCTTTAGACAGTGCAGATTTGAAACACTTGTCTGTGGAATTTGCAAGGGGAGATTTCAAGCACTTTGAGGCCATTGGTGGAAAAGGAAATATCTTCGTATGAAAACTAGACAGAATCATTCTCAGGAACTACTTTGTGATATGTGCATTCAACTCCCAGAGTTTAACCTTTCTTTTCATAGATGAGTTTGGAAACAGTCAGTTTGTAAATTCTGCAACTGGATATTTGGACCTCTTTGAGGCTTTCGTTGGAAACGGGATTTCTTCACATAATGCTAGACAGAAGAATTCTCAGTAACTTCTTTTGGGATGTATGTATTCAAATCAGAGAGTTGAACCTTCCTTTAGACAGAGCGGATTGGAAACACTCTTTTTGTGGAATTTGCAAGTGGAAAATTCTAGCAGTATGAGGCCAATGGTACAAAAGGAAATATCTTCGTATAAAAACTAGACAGTATCATTCTCAGAAACTGCTTTGTGATGTGTGTATTAAACTCACAGAGTTGAACATTTCTTTGCATAGAGCAGTTTGGAAAGACTTAGTTTGTGCAGTGTGCAAGTGGATATTTGGAACTCTTTGAGGCCTTCGTTGGAAACGGGATTTCTTCTTATAATTCTTGACAAAAGAATTCTCAGTAGCTTCTTTGTGTGTGTGTATTCAACTCACAGAGTTGAACCTTCCTTTAGACAGAGCAGATTGGAAACACTCTTTTTGTGGAATTTGCAAGTGGAGAATTCTAGCGCTTTGACGCCAATGGTAGAAAGGAAATATCTTCGTATAAAAACTAGACAGTATCATTCTCAGAAACTACTTTGTGAGGTGTGCGTTCAACTCACAGTGTTTACCCTTTCTTTTCATAGAGCAGTTTGGAAACACTCTGTTTGTGAAGTCTGCAAGTGGATATTTAAACGTCTTTGAGGCCTTCGTTGGAAACGGGATTTCTTCATATAAACCAGGACAGAAGAATTCTCAGAAACTTCTTGATTGTTATGTGTGCATTCAACTCACAGAGTTGAACCTTACTTTGGAAAGAGCAGTTTCCTAACACTCGTTTTGTAAAAGTTCCAAGTGAATACTTTGAGTGCTTTGAAGCCTACGGTTGACAACGAAATATCTTCATGTAAAAACTACAAAGAATCATTCGCAGAAACCACGTTGTGATCTCTGCATTCAACTCACAGAGTTCAACCTTTCTTCCTATAGAGCAGTTATGAAACAGTCTCTTTGTAGAATTTGCAAGGGTGTATTTAGAGGGCATTGAAGCCTACGGTAGAAAAGGAAATATCTTACCATAAAATCGAGTCAGAAGCATTCTCAGAAACTGAGTTGTGATGTTTGCATTCAACTCACAGAGTTCAACATTCCTTTTAATGGAGCGGTTTTGAAACACTCTTTTTGCAGAATCTGCAAGTGGATATTTGGACCTCTTTGAGGCCTTCGTTGGAAACGGGATTTCTTCATGTAATGCCAGACAGAAGAATTCTCAGTGAATTCTTTCTGTGTGTGTGTATTCAACTCACAGAGTTGAACGTTCCTTTAGACAGAGTAGATTGGAAACACTCTTTTTGTGGAATTTTCAGGTGGAGGTATCAAGCGCTTTGAGGCCAATGATAGAAAAGGAAATACCTTCGTATAATAATTAGACGGAATCATTCTCAGAAACTGCTTTGCAATGTGTGCGTTCAACTCACAGTGTTTAACCTTTCTTTTCATACAGTTGTTTCGAAACACTCTTTTTGCAGAATCTGCAAGTGGATATTTGGACCTCTTTGAAGTCTTCGTTGGAAATGGGATTTCTTCATATAATGCTAGACAGAAGACTTCTCAGTAACTGCTTTTTCTGGTGTGTATTCAACTCTCAGAGTTGAACTTTCCTTTAGAAACAGCAGATTTGAAACTCTCTTTTTGTGGAATTTGCAAGTGGAGATTTCAGAGCTTTGAGGCCAATGGTAGAAAAGGAAATATCTTCGTATGCAAACTAGACAGAATCATTCTCAGGAAACTACTTTGGTACGTGTGTGTTCAACTCACAGTGTTTAACCTTTCCTTTCATAGAGCAGTTTGGAAACACTCAGTTTGTAAAGTCAGCAACTGGATATCTGGATGTATTTGAGGCCTTCGTTGGAAACGGGATTTCTTCATGTAATGCTAGACAGAAGAATTCTCAGTAACTTCTTTGGGTTGTGGGTATTCAACTCACAGAGCTGAAGCTTCCTTTAGGTGGAGCAGATTGGAAACACTTTTTGTGGAATTTTCAGGGGGAGACTTCAAGCGCTTTGAGGCCAACGGTAGAAAAGGAAATATCTTCGTATAAAAACTAGACGGAGTCATTCTCAGAAACTACTTTGTGATGTTTGCGTTCAACTCACAGAGTTTAACGTTTCTTTTCATAGAGCAGTTTGGAAACACTCTTTTTGCAGAATCTGTAAGTGGATATTTGGACCTCTTTGTGGCCTTCGTTGGAAACGGGATTTTTCATATAATTCTAGACAGAAGAATTCTCAGTAACTTCTTTTTGTGGTGTGTATTCAACTCACAGAGTTGAACCTTCCTTTAGACAGAGCAGATTTGAAACTCTCTTTTCGTGGAATTTGCAAGTGGAGATTTCAAGCGCTTTGAGGCCAACGGTAGAAAAGGAAATATCTTCGTAGAAAAAATAGACGGAATCATTCTCAGAAACTGCTTTGGGATGTGTGCATTGAACTCACAGTGTTTAACACTTCTTTTCATAGAGCACTTTGGAAACACTCAGTTTGTAATGTCTGCAGCTGGATATTTGGACCTCTTTGAGGCCTTCGTAGTAAACGGGATTTCTTCGTGTAATGATAGACAATAGAATTCTCAGTGAATTTTTTTCTGTGTGTGTGTATTCAACTCACAGGGTTGAACCTTCCTTTAGACAGTGCAGATTTGAAACACTTGTCTGTGGAATTTGCAAGGGGAGATTTCAAGCACTTTGAGGCCATTGGTGGAAAAGGAAATATCTTCGTATGAAAACTAGACAGAATCATTCTCAGGAACTACTTTGTGATATGGGCATTCAACTCCCAGAGTTTAACCTTTCTTTTCATAGATGAGTTTGGAAACAGTCAGTTTGTAAATTCTGCAACTGGATATTTGGACCTCTTTGAGGCTTTCGTTGGAAACGGGATTTCTTCACATAATGCTAGACAGAAGAATTCTCAGTAACTTCTTTTGGGATGTATGTATTCAAATCAGAGAGTTGAACCTTCCTTTAGACAGAGCGGATTGGAAACACTCTTTTTGTGGAATTTGCAAGTGGAAAATTCTAGCAGTATGAGGCCAATGGTACAAAAGGAAATATCTTCGTATAAAAACTAGACAGTATCATTCTCAGAAACTGCTTTGTGATGTGTGTATTAAACTCACAGAGTTGAACATTTCTTTGCATAGAGCAGTTTGGAAAGACTTAGTTTGTGCAGTGTGCAAGTGGATATTTGGAACTCTTTGAGGCCTTCGTTGGAAACGGGATTTCTTCTTATAATTCTTGACAAAAGAATTCTCAGTAGCTTCTTTGTGTGTGTGTATTCAACTCACAGAGTTGAACCTTCCTTTAGACAGAGCAGATTGGAAACACTCTTTTTGTGGAATTTGCAAGTGGAGAATTCTAGCGCTTTGACGCCAATGGTAGAAAGGAAATATCTTCGTATAAAAACTAGACAGTATCATTCTCAGAAGCTACTTTGTGATGTGTGCGTTCAACTCACAGAGTTTAACCTTTCTTTTCATAGAGCAGTTTGGAAACCCTCTGTTTGTGAAGTCTGCAAGTGGATATTTAAACGTCTTTGAGGCCTTCGTTGGAAACGGGATTTTTTCATATAAACCAGGACAGAAGGATTCTCAGAAACTTCTTGTTTGTTATGTGTGCATTCAACTCACAGAGTTGAACCTTACTTTGGAAAGAGCAGTTTTCTAACACTCTTTTTGTAAAAGTTCCAAGTGAATACTTTGAGTGCTTTGAAGCCTACGGTAGACAACGAAATATCTTCATGTAAAAACTACAAAGAATCATTCGCAGAAACCACGTTGTGATCTCTGCATTCAACTCACAGTGTTGAACCTTTCTTCCTATAGAGCAGTTATGAAACAGTCTCTTTGTAGAATTTGCAAGGGTGTATTTAGAGGGCATTGAAGCCTACGGTAGAAAAGGAAATATCTTACCATAAAATCTAGTCAGAAGCATTCTCAGAAACTGAGTTGTGATGTTTGCATTCAACTCACAGAGTTCAACATTCCTTTTCATGGAGCGGTTTTGAAACACTCTTTTTGCAGAATCTGCAAGTGGATATTTGGACCTCTTTGAGGCCTTCGTTGGAAACGGGATTTCTTCATGTAATGCCAGACAGAAGAATTCTCAGTGAATTCTTTCTGTGTGTGTGTATTCAACTCACAGAGTTGAACGTTCCTTTAGACAGAGTAGATTGGAAACACTCTTTTTGTGGAATTTTCAGGTGGAGGTATCAAGCGCTTTGAGGCCAATGATAGAAAAGGAAATACCTTCGTATAATAATTAGACGGAATCATTCTCAGAAACTGCTTTGCAATGTGTGCGTTCAACTCACAGTGTTTAACCTTTCTTTTCATAGAGTTGTTTCGAAACACTCTTTTTGCAGAATCTGCAAGTGGATATTTGGACCTCTTTGAAGTCTTCGTTGGAAATGGGATTTCTTCATATAATGCTAGACAGAAGACTTCTCAGTAACTGCTTTTTCTGGTGTGTATTCAACTCTCAGAGTTGAACTTTCCTTTAGAAACAGCAGATTTGAAACTCTCTTTTTGTGGAATTTGCAAGTGGAGATTTCAGAGCTTTGAGGCCAATGGTAGAAAAGGAAATATCTTCGTATGCAAACTAGACAGAATCATTCTCAGAAACTACTTTGGTACCGTGTGTGTTCAACTCACAGTGTTTAACCTTTCCTTTCATAGAGCAGTTTGGAAACACTCAGTTTGTAAAGTCAGCAACTGGATATCTGGATGTATTTGAGGCCTTCGTTGGAAACAGGATTTCTTCATGTAGTGCTAGACAGAAGAATTCTCAGTAACTTCTTTGGGTTGTGGGTATTCAACTCACAGAGTTGAAGCTTCCTTTAGGCTGAGCAGATTGGAAACACTTTTTGTGGAATTTTCAGGGGGAGACTTCAAGCGCTTTGAGGCCAACGGTAGAAAAGGAAATATCTTCGTATAAAAATTAGACGGAGTCATTCTCAGAAACTTCTTTGTGATGTTTGCGTTCAACTCACAGAGTTTAACGTTTCTTTTCATAGAGCAGTTTGGAAACACTCTTTTTGCAGAGTCTGCAGGTGGATATTTGGACCTCTTTGTGGCCTTTGTTGGAAACGGGATTTTTCATATAATGCTAGACAGAAGAATTCTCAGTAACTTCTTTTTGTGGTGTGTATTCAAGACACAGAGTTGAACCTTCCTTTAGACAGAGCAGATTTGAAACTCTCTTTTCGTGGAATTTGCAAGTGGAGATTTCAAGCGCTTTGAGGCCAACGGCAGAAAGGGAAATATCTTCGTAGAAAAAATAGACGGAATCATTCTCAGAAACTGCTTTGGGATGTGTGCATTGAACTCACAGTGTTTAACACTTCTTTTCATAGAGCACTTTGGAAACACTCAGTTTGTAATGTCTGCAGCTGGATATTTGGACCTCTTTGAGGCCTTCGTAGTAAACGGGATTTCTTCGTGTAATGATAGACAATAGAATTCTCAGTGAATTTGTTTCTGTGTGTGTGTATTCAACTCACAGGGTTGAACCTTCCTTTAGACAGTGCAGATTTGAAACACTTGTCTGTGGAATTTGCAATGGGAGATTTCAAGCACTTTGAGGCCATTGGTGGAAAAGGAAATATCTTCGTATAAAAACTAGACAGAATCATTCTCAGGAACTACTTTGAGATATGTGCATTCAACTCACAGGGTTTAACCTTTCTTTTCATAGATGAGTTTGGAAACAGTCAGTTTGTAAATTCTGCAACTGGATATTTGGACCTCTTTGAGGCTTTCGTTGGAAACGGGATTTCTTCACATAATCGCGTAGACAGAAGAATTTGCAGTAACTTCCTTTGGGATGTATGTATTCAACTCAGAGAGTTGAACCCTCCTTTAGACAGAGCGCATTGGAAACACGCTTTTTGCGGAATTTTCAGGTGGAGATTCCAAGAGCCTTGAGACCAATGGTAGAAAAGGCTATCTTCGTATAAAAACTAGAGGGAATCATTCTCAGAAACTGCTTTGTGATGTGTGCATTAAACTCACAAGGTTGAACATTTCTTTGCATAGAGCAGTTTGGAAAGACTTAGTTTGTACAGTGTGCAAGTGGATATTTGGAACTCTTTGAGGCCTTCGTTGGAAACGGGATTTCTTCTTATAATTCTTGACAAAAGAATTCTCAGTAGCTTCCTTGTGTGTGTGTATTCAACTCACAGAGTTGAACCTGCCTTTAGGCAGAGCAGATTGGAAACTCTCTTTTTGTGGAATTTGCAAGTGGAGAATTCTAGCGCTTTGACGCCAATGGTAGGAAAGGAAATCTCTTCGTATAAAAACTGGACAGTATCATTCTCAGAAGCTACTTTGTGATGTGTGCGTTCAACTCACAGAGTTTAACCTTTCTTTTCATAGAGCAGTTTGGAAACCCTCTGTTTGTGAAGTCTGCAAGTGGATATTTAAACGTCTTTGAGGCCTTCGTTGGAAACGGGATTTGTTCCTATAAACCAGGACAGAAGAATTCTCAGAAACTTCTTGATTGTTATGTGTGCATTCAACTCACAGAGTTGAACCTTACTTTGGAAAGAGCAGTTTTCTAACACTCTTTTTGTAAAAGTTCCAAGTGAATACTTTGAGTGCTTTGAAGCCTACGGTTGACAACGAAATATCTTCATGTAAAAACTACAAAGAAATCATTCGCAGAAACCACGTTGTGATCTCTGCATTCAACTCACAGAGTTGAACCTTTCTTCCTATAGAGCAGTTATGACACAGTCTCTTTGTAGAATTTGCAAGGGTGTATTTAGAGGGCATTGAAGCCTACGGTAGAAAAGGAAATATCTTACCATAAAATCTAGTCAGAAGCATTCTCAGCAACTGAGTTGTGATGTTTCCATTCAACTCACAGAGTTCAACATTCCTTTTAATGGAGCGGTTTTGAAACACTCTTTTTGCAGAATCTGCAAGTGGATATTTGGACCTCTTTGAGGCCTTCGTTGGAAACGGGATTTCTTCATGTAATGCCAGACAGAAGAATTCTCAGTGAATTCTTTCTGTGTGTGTGTATTCAACTCACAGAGTTGAACGTTCCTTTAGACAGAGTAGATTGGAAACACTCTTTTTGTGGAATTTTCAGGTGGAGGTATCAAGCGCTTTGAGGCCAATGATAGAAAAGGAAATACCTTCGTATAATAATTAGACGGAATCATTCTCAGAAACCGCTTTGCAATGTGTGCGTTCAACTCACAGTGTTTAACCTTTCTTTTCATACAGTTGTTTCGAAACACTCTTTTTGCAGAATCTGCAAGTGGATATTTGGACCTCTTTGAAGTCTTCGTTGGAAATGGGATTTCTTCATATAATGCTAGACAGAAGACTTCTCAGTAACTGCTTTTTCTGGTGTGTATTCAACTCTCCGAGTTGAACTTTCCTTTAGAAACAGCAGATTTGAAACTCTCTTTTTGTGGAATTTGCAAGTGGAGATTTCAGAGCTTTGAGGCCAATGGTAGAAAAGGAAATATCTTCGTATGCAAACTAGACAGAATCATTCTCAGAAACTACTTTGGTACGTGTGTGTTCAACTCACAGTGTTTAACCTTTCCTTTCATAGAGCAGTTTGGAAACACTCAGTTTGTAAAGTCAGCAACTGGATATCTGGATGTATTTGAGGCCTTCGTTGGAAACGGGATTTCTTCATGTAATGCTAGACAGAAGAATTCTCAGTAACTTCTTTGGGTTGTGGGTATTCAACTCACAGTGTTGAAGCTTCCTTTAGGCGGAGCAGATTGGAAACACTTTTTGTGGAATTTTCAGGGGGAGACTTCAAGCGCTTTGAAGTGAATGGTAGGAAAGGAAATATCTTCGTATAAAAACTAGACGGAGTCATTCTCAGAAACTACTTTGTGATGTTTGCGTTCAACTCACAGAGTTTAACGTTTCTTTTCATAGAGCAGTTTGGAAACACTCTTTTTGCAGAATCTGCAAGTGGATATTTGGACCTCTTTGTGGCCTTCGTTGGAAACGGGATTTTTCATATAATGCTAGACAGAAGAATTCTCAGTAACTTCTTTTTGTGGTGTGTATTCAACTCACAGAGTTGAACCTTCCTTTAGACAGAGCAGATTTGAAACTCTCTTTTTGTGGAATTTGCAAGTGGAGATTTCAAGCGCTTTGAGGCCAACGGCAGAAAAGGAAATATCTTCGTAGAAAAAATAGACGGAATCATTCTCAGAAACTGCTTTGGGATGTGTGCATTGAACTCACAGTGTTTAACACTTCTTTTCATGGAGCACTTTGGAAACACTCAGTTTGTAATGTCTGCAGCTGGATATTTGGACCTCCTTGAGGCCTTCGTAGTAAACGGGATTTCTTCGTGTAATGATAGACAATAGAATTCTCAGTGAATTTTTTTCTGTGTGTGTGTATTCAACTCACAGGGTTGAACCTTCCTTTAGACAGTGCAGATTTGAAACACTTGTCTGTGGAATTTGCAAGGGGAGATTTCAAGCACTTTGAGGCCATTGGTGGAAAAGGAAATATCTTCGTATGAAAACTAGACAGAATCATTCTCAGGAACTACTTTGTGATATGTGCATTCAACTCACAGAGTTTAACCTTTCTTTTCATAGATGAGTTTGGAAACAGTCAGTTTGTAAATTCTGCAACTGGATATTTGGACCTCTTTGAGGCTTTCGTTGGAAACGGGATTTCTTCACATAATGCTAGACAGAAGAATTCTCAGTAACTTCTTTTGGGATGTATGTATTCAAATCAGAGAGTTGAACCTTCCTTTAGACAGAGCGGATTGGAAACACTCTTTTTGTGGAATTTGCAAGTGGAAAATTCTAGCAGTATGAGGCCAATGGTACAAAAGGAAATATCTTCGTATAAAAACTAGACAGTATCATTCTCAGAAACTGCTTTGTGATGTGTGTATTAAACTCACAGAGTTGAACATTTCTTTGCATAGAGCAGTTTGGAAAGACTTAGTTTGTGCAGTGTGCAAGTGGATATTTGGAACTCTTTGAGGCCTTCGTTGGAAACGGGATTTCTTCTTATAATTCTTGACAAAAGAATTCTCAGTAGCTTCTTTGTGTGTGTGTGTATTCAACTCACAGAGTTGAACCTTCCTTTAGACAGAGCAGATTGGAAACACTCTTTTTGTGGAATTTGCAAGTGGAGAATTCTAGCGCTTTGACGCCAATGGTAGAAAGGAAATATCTTCGTATAAAAACTAGACAGTATCATTCTCAGAAGCTACTTTGTGATGTGTGCGTTCAACTCACAGAGTTTAACCTTTCTTTTCATAGAGCAGTTTGGAAACCCTCTGTTTGTGAAGTCTGCAAGTGGATATTTAAACGTCTTTGAGGCCTTCGTTGGAAACGGGATTTTTTCATATAAACCAGGACAGAAGAATTCTCAGAAACTTCTTGATTGTTATGTGTGCATTCAACTCACAGAGTTGAACCTTACTTTGGAAAGAGCAGTTTTCTAACACTCTTTTTGTAAAAGTTCCAAGTGAATACATTGAGTGCTTTGAAGCCTACGGTTAACAACGAAATATCTTCATGTAAAAACTACAAAGAATCATTCGCAGAAACCACGTTGTGATCTCTGCATTCAACTCACAGAGTTGAACCTTTCTTCCTATAGAGCAGTTATGAAACAGTCTCTTTGTAGAATTTGCAGGGGTGTATTTAGAGGGCATTGAAGCCTACGGTAGAAAAGGAAATATCTTACCATAAAATCTAGTCAGAAGCATTCTCAGCAACTGAGTTGTGATGTTTGCATTCAACTCACAGAGTTCAACATTCCTTTTAATGGAGCGGTTTTGAAACACTCTTTTTGCAGAATCTGCAAGTGGATATTTGGACCTCTTTGAGGCCTTCGTTGGAAACGGGATTTCTTCATGTAATGCCAGACAGA